>NW_025791787.1:170358-340717 GCF_000001405.40 Homo sapiens | reverse complement strand
GAATTCAGATCAAAACCAATGTGTATACTCATCTTTTATTTTTATAAATTTCTACAAAATGCTATTTAACTTATAGTGGCAGAAAACAGACCAGTGGCTGTCTATGGATGTGGGTGCATGGGACATGGTGAGAGGGAGTGATTCCAAAGGGAAATGAGAAAACTTTTGGGGATGATGTGTATGATCATTATCTTGGTTATGATGATGGTTCCATAAGTGCATACAAATGTCAGTAGAGTATTAAATGTAAATTTTAAATATGCACACTTATTTTATATCAATTATACCTCTTTAAAGCTGTTTTTTATTTTAAAAAATTAAAAAATTAAAAACTCCAGAGGTTAGGGCTGTATTGTCAGGTAAAGTATTAACCTCTTCTTTTCATCTAACTTAGACATCATATTCCAGCAGCCTTTCTTTCACTGACCATATCTACATAAGACCCTTACATTCTCCTTTGAATCACATTTGTCATCTTGCCGATTCCCTCATTAATGTTAGGTATGATTTGTCCATCAAGAATAATAATAATAATAAAAATAAAAATAATTTTTAATGTTAGGTATGCACTGACTCTACACTTTATATACTTGAAGGAGAATTATGTTTTTATCATTTTACAAATTATTATTTGATAAGACTTTTACCTAGAAAAACATAAAATACATTCATTTAAAATATTAATACAAATTCTTTATGAGAAAATGTCTATAAACATCAAGTATCAAATAGTACATCTCTTAACTCCCTTTCTCTACCACTGATTCTGTGGAAACAATTGTATTATACTCAATTTTTGACAACTTGGGGATTCTTAGGGCTCTTACGAACTATAAGCTTATAGTTCCTATAAACTAATAATCTTAGGATTCTTCGAAACTATAAACTTAAGCAGAGCAAATAAAATTTCATGTCTTAGGCATGATGTGAAAATGAAGATGAGACACAAAAACGCTTGTATATTTTAAGGCAAATATTAAGATCCATCTGGGAATTTGGGAGATGGTGTAAAATCCAGGCAAACTGCATAAAATAGAAAACACATGGTCTATAAAAAAAAGTGGATGGGAAAGTTAGGAGTACAGGTGATTAAATTTTGGCATTTGAGCCCATATGTCACAGGAATGATTATCTCTACATTATGCACTCAAATGAACAGGCAAAGAAGGAAAAATGATGGATGGAAATGATGTACAGAAAAAAGGGAATAAAAACAAAATTAGACAAGAGAGAAATTGGAAGAGTCTGGATATATATAATCATGTTGACTTACCCTGAGAAATGGGGAACACACATCCTGGGACAAGTGGTACACAGTTATGCAGCTGTGGAACACAGTCATCTGAAAAAACACAGGCAAATACACATCACCAAACAAGGGGCCTGTGGGACATAAAGGCTCCCACCCAGGGATGTGGCTGAGTAAAGACTGGAGGATATTAAGGAATGCCCCCAAGGGCAGATGACTCAGCAATGTGCTGACAAACTGTTCTAAGGAAACAGACTTGCGCTGAAGTTTCCATCTAACCCTCTGTGCTCTCTAGCATCTGGACACTCTGTTCATGAAAATCATTATAGACCTGAATGGAATTTCCCTCTTTCAAAGATGACTTATAAGCCCAAAATGTTCAGTGCTGCACATAAATACTACCCTCACCTCTGTCACTGCTACTCAGAGAGGGAGAGAGAGAAAAAAATGGGAGAAAGTAAATAAATATCATAATACTAAAATACATTTCAAGATAAAAATTGTTCCAAGCATCAAAAAAAATTTCAAATTATTGTAATCTACAGTGTTAAAGAAATTAAAGAAAAACATGGACACTGGGGAAAAAATCACAGAGGAGATTACTTATTTTGTTTTTTGTTTGTTTGTTTTTGAAACACGGTCTCACTCTGCCACCCCAGCTGGAGTATGGTGATAATCATGGCTCACTGCAGCCTCAATCTCCCAGACTTAAGCCATCTCAGCCTTGGAAGTAGCTGGAACTACAGGCACGCACCACTACACTTGGCTATTTTTAAAAAATGTTTGTCTCACTGTGGGGTCTCACTATGTTGCCCAGGCTGATCTCAAACTCCTGGATTCAAGTGATCCTCCCACCTCAGCCTCTCAAAGCACTGGAATTATAGGCATAAGCCACCACACATGCAGCCAAAAAAAATTTTTTTAAGACAAGTTAAAAAGGTTAAAAGTGAGTTGGAAGATTAAGAAAATTCAAGATAACAATAGAACTGTTACAGAAATGAAAACCACAATAGAAGCAGCAGGAATAAAAATAGAGATTGCTGGAAATAGATTCAATGTAAGAAGAACAGCTTTAAAAAGATCACATAAGCAAAATGAAGAAGTAAAAAAAAAGTTTTGGAGAGAATAAAATATATAGAAAAGCAAGTTAAGAAAATTCAGCATGGAAGAAAAAAATATTTGAAGTCCTGATGGTGTTCAAAACGTTAAAGATTAAAATGTGAGAAAAAAGCCAAGTTACTTAGAAGAAGAAAAATAGACTGACCTCAGATTTCCCCAAATAGTTATTTTCAATGGAAGAACACAGTGAAGAAATATATAGATAATTCTGAGAAGGAAAAGTCAGACTCCAAACTTATGCATGTAGTCAATTTATTCTTCACATAAAAGACGAAAGAAAGCTATTCTTAAAGTATGTATTCTTAGTGCATATAGTACCTATTCATCCTTAAAAAAACATGATGACAAATCCAATCAATTGCACCTTTAATGGAGAATTCCAAAACTAGAATTCATATTGTTGAATATTTGATCTATCAAGACTAAATATCTAATCTTTCATGATGTAAGAATAGTTGATACTAAAAGTTATGAATTAATAAAGATGACATATATCTCCAAATTTACAAAGATAACACTAGAAGAGTGTCTTAGTAAATTTGGTTGCCATAAAAAAAATGTCAAGCATTGGATAGCTTAAACAAAAGCAATTTATTTCTGACAGCTCTGGAGGCTGGAAGTCCAAGATTAAGGTGCTACTGATTTGGTTCCCTGGTGAGGGCTCTCTTCCTGGCTTGCAGACAGCCACCTTCTTGCTGTGTTCTCTTATGGTGGTGGTGTGGAGAGAGATCTCTGGTCTCTTTTCCTCTTTTTATAAGGATGCTAATTCCATCGTGAGGGTCCCACTTTCATGAACTCATCTAAAAATAATTACCACACGAAGGCTCGCCTCCCAAATATCATCATCTTGGGTGTTAGGGCTACAGCATATGAATTTTAGAGGGGCACAAACATTCAGTCTGTAACAAACAGACAATAATACTTTCAAATTACCAGGAGAAAAGTAAGTGCACCACTTTCTATACATACCACTTCACTAAACCACACACATACACATACACACCACTTCACTAAACACACACACATACACATATACACACACACAGAGAGAGAGAAAAGGAAGCACATGTATCAAGCATATCTGTTAGAAATACAAATATAAATAGAAATATAAAATCTGTTAAAAAATAATTTCTTTGTTTGATCCAAAAGCTAATTACATGCCAAAAGTAAAAGATATGTTAAAAAATTACAAAGTTATAAATTAAAGGTTAGACAAAGATAAAGCAAACAAATGCCAACAAACTTAAGTGGGGATTGTTGTATTAATAAGCAGGCAAATTTTAATTTTAGGCAAAAGACATGAAAAATCCTAAATGAACTCATTGTTTAATGATGCAGAAAGTATTTCACAATAAATGTAAAAATGTCAGGAACCTTTATGCTCAGATAATATATCAACAAAAATACACAGAAAAAGCTACTGAAAATACAAAAATAAATACACACCAAAAAGTATAATAGTAAATATTAACTCATCTTTTTCAATCCATCACTAATTAAGACTACTTAGCAAAATAAGAAATATAGAGAATTTAAGCAGTACTACTAATATTTTTATTATATGTGATATAAGGTTGTGTACTATATGTACTCAAATTTCTGTATCTTACAAACAGACATACACACCTACTTTTAAGCATCTTCAACATTTATAAAAATTGACCACAAAGAGACAACAAAAATTTTTTAATCACAGAAAAGAAACTTGTGCAGACCATATTCAATATCTAACATGAAAATAAACAAGAAATTGGCCGGGCACGGTGGCTCATGCCTGTAATCCTAGCACTTTGGGAGGCCGAGGCGGGCAGATCACAAGGTCAGGAGATCGAGACCATCCTGGCTAACACAGTGAAACCCCGTCTCTACTAAAAACGTACAAAAAATAAGCCTGGTGTGGTGGCAGGCATCTGTAGTCCCAGCAGTGAGCCGAGATTGGGTCACTGCACTCCAGCCTGGGCGACAGAGCGAGCCTTCATCAAAAATAAAATAAAATAAAATAAAATAAAATAAAATAAAATAAAATAAAATAAAATAAAATAAAATAAACAAGAAATTAATAATTTTTAAAAGAGGGTACCAAGATAATTCATTTAGGGAAAGAATCATCCCTTCAACAAATGGTGCTGGAACAACCAGATATTCACATGCAAAAGAATGAAGTTGAATCACTAAACAAAACTGAACTCAGAATGAACCATCAATCTAAAGGTAAGAGCTAAATCTACAAAACTCTCAGAAGAAAATATAGGGACAAACCTTCATGACTTTGGATTTGACAGTGGGTTCTTAGATATGATACTGAAAGCACATGGAACAAAAGAAAAAGTAGACAAACTGGACATATAAAGACAAAAATTTTTAACATCCAAGAATATTATCAAGAAAATGAAAAGACAATCTACAGAATAGGAGAAATATTTTCAAATCACATCTCTGATAAGGGATTAATATCTAGAGTATATAAAGAATTGAAATTCAACTGAAAAGACCATTTTAAAATGGGCAAAGGACTTAGTATTTCTCCAAAGAATATCTAAAAATGGACATTAAGCACATGAAAAGGTGACCAACAACATTTGTCATTAGGAAAATCCAAATCAAAACCAAAATTAAATACCACTTCAAACCCACTAGGATGTCTACAATCAATAAAATGAAAAATAAGTGTTGGCAAGGATATCTACAAGTTGGAACTCTCAAGTATTACTGGGGGAAATGTAAAATGATTCAGTCACTGTGAATAAATATTTCATGGTAAGTCAAACATAGGCTTACCAGATGACCCAGGAATTCCACTTAGGGACATACCTAAGAGAATTGAAAACAGGTATGCAGATTACTCTCTATATGAACATTCAGAGCAGCACTATTCACAATAGTCAAAAGATAGAAACAACCCAAACATCCATCAGTGGATGAATGGATTAATAATGGATATGAACAGAATTCATCTTGTGGCATATCACATAATGTAAACATCGCTACACTTTTTCTGAACAGGTATGTTTAGTGATAAACAGAATTTTAATGAGCCTTCCATCTTTTCATTGACCTATCCATCCATCCATCCATCCATCCACCCATCCATAATTCAGTCTTTTTTCTTCTTCTTTCTGTAAGTCTCTTTTTTTTCTTTGTTTTAACTTATATTTTAAGTTCAGGGGTACAAATGCAGGTTTGTTACATAGACTTGTGCCATGAAGTTTTGTTGTACAGATTATTTCATTGCCCAGATATTATACAAGATTATGCCAGGTGAAAGAAGCCAGACACAAAAGTTCACACGTTGGTCATATGACTCAATTACATGAAATGTTCAGAATAGGTAAATTCAGAGGTACAGAAAGCAGAATGGTGATTGTCAAGGGCTGGAGAGAGTGAGTAATGGGGAGTAGGTGCCTCATGGATATAGGATTTTATTTGGCGTAATGAAAATATTTTGGAACTAGATAGAGTTAGTGTTTGCAAAACATTGTGAATGTACTAAATGCCACAAAATTGTCTACCTTAAAATGCTTAATTTTGTCTGTAAATTTTACCTCAATAAAAAAATAAATAAAAAATGCTGGGCACAGTGGCTCATGCCTGTAATTCCAGCACTTTGGGAGGCTGAGGCAGGTGGATCACTTGAGGTCAGGAGTTTGAGAGCAGCCTGGTCAACATGGTGAAACCCTGTCTGTACTAAAAATACAAAAATTAGCAGGGCATGGTAGTGCATGCCTGTAGTCCCAGCTACTTGGGAAGCTGAGGCAGGAGGAACCTGGGAGGCAGAGGCTGCAGTAAACCGAGATTGTGCCACTGCACTCCAGCCTGGGCCACAGAAGTAGATTCTGTCTCAATAAATACATAAATATAAAAACCAATAATGCCAAACATTTCAGGAAAACCTAATAAGCCAAATATTTAAAGATAACTTTCTTGGCTAAAAAAGAATGGTATAATTTTAAAAAATCAGATTATCAAGAAAACAATAATAACAAAAAACCTACATATTAAAAATCAATGAAATGCAGTCAGAGTTCATTTGATGGTGCTTTCCTTTATTGCACCTCTCAGATATTACGTTATTTTTTTTACAAACTTCTTTTTACAAGGTTTGTGGTAACTCTACTCTGAACAGCCTATTGACGCCATATTTCCCAAAGCATATACTGCTCAATTTGTGTCTCTGTGTCACATTTTGGTAATTCTCGCAACATTTCAAACTTTCTTATTATTACTATATCTGTGATAGTGATCTATGATCGGTGATCTTTGATGGAACTACTGTAATTTTTGTTGGGCATCACAAACCATACACATACAAGACAGTGAACTTAACTGGTAAATGTGTGTGTTCTGAGTGCTCCCTCCATTGAACATTTTCCCCTCTCTTTCCCTCTCCTTGGGTCTCTTTATTCCCTGAGACATGACAATATTGAAATTAGGCCGATTAATAACCCTAATGGCTTCTAAGTGTTCAAGTTAAAAAAAAAGGGTCACAGGTCTCTCACTTTAAATCAAAAGCTGGAAATGATTAAGCTGAATGAGGAAGGTATGTCAAAAGCCAAGATAGGCAGAAAGGTAAGCTTATTGAACCAAATCACTAGTCAAGTTGTGAATGCAAAGGAAAAGTTCTTGGAAGAAATTAAAAGTGCTACTCCAGTGAACACATGAATGATAAGAAAGTAAAATAGCCTTATTGCTGATGAAAGTTGTAATGATCTGGAAAAAAGATCAAAATGACCACAACATTCCCTTAAGCTAAAATTTAATCCAGAGAAAGACCCTCACTCTCTTCAATTCTGTGAAGGCTGAGAGAGGCAAGAAAGCTGCAGGAAAATTTGAAGCTGGCAGATACTGGTTCACGGTATTTAGGGGGGGAAAAAAGCTGTCTTTGTAAGATACAAATGTAAGGTGAAGCAGCAAGTACTGATGTAGAAGCTGCAGCAAGTTATCCAGAAAATCTAGCTAAGATTATTGATAAAGGTGGCCACAGATTTCCAGTGTAGATGAAACTACCTTAAATTGGAAGAACATGCCATCTGGGACTTTCATAGCTAGAGAAAAGTCAATGCCTGGCTTCAAATCTTCAAAGGACAGTCAAAAAAAAAAAAAGTGATGGATGGATCACTCTATCACTTTCTTTTGCATGGATGAAAAAAGAAAGTGATTCCTTTTCTTTACTTAAAGCCCCAAAATAATCTCCTTTGACTCCATTTCCCACATCCAGGGCACTCTGGCACATGAGGTGGGCCTTCAAGGCCTTGGGCAGCTCTGCCCCTTGTGACTTTGCAGTGTACATGACCATGGCTGCTGTCATGGGTTGGAGTTGAGTACATGTAGCTTTTCGAGGCTCAGGATGCAAGCTTCTGTTAGATCTACCATTCTTGGGTTTGGAGGGTGGCAGTCCCTTTCCCCAAGCTCCACTAAGCAGTACTCTGGTAGAGTCTCTGTGGGGGCTCTCACCCTGCATTTTCCCTCTGTGCTGCCCTAGTAGAGGTTTTTTGTGAGGGCTCCACCCCTGTGGCAGGCTTCTGCCTGGTCACCCAGGTTTTCTCATACATCCTCTGAAATCTAAGGGGAAGCTGCCAGGCCCCCTTCACTCTTGCTTTCCATGCTACCATAGACTTAACACCATGTGGGAGCCACTAAGGCTTATGGCAGCTTGCAGTCTCCAAAGCAGCAGCTTGAGTACTATCTGGAGCCCTTTGAACTAAGGCTGAAGCTGGGACAGCCAGGATGTGAGAAGCAGTGTCCTGAGACTGCACAGGGCAGCAGGGCCCTGGGCCTGGCCCCTGAATCCATTCTTTACTCCTAGGCCTCTGGGCCTGTGATAGGAGGAGCTGCCTTGAAGATAACTGAAATGCCTTCGAGGCCTTTTTCCCATTGCCTTGGGTATTAACACTTGGCTCCCTTTTAGTCATGCTAATCTCTCTAGTAAGTGGTTGCTCTGCAGCCTGCTTGGATTCTTTGTCTACCACAGGGCTAGGCTGTGAATTTTCCAAACTTTTATGCTTTGCTTCCCTTTTAAATATGTTTCAACTTTAAATCATTCCTTTACTCCCATATCTGAGTTTAAGCTGTTAGAAGCAGCCATGTCATATTCTTTTTTTTTTTTTTTTTAGACAGAGTTTCACTCTGTCACCCAGGCTGGAGTGCAATGGCATTACCTTAGCTCACTTTAACCTCTGCCTCCCTGGTTCAAGCGATTTTCCTGCCTCAGCCTCCTGAGTAGCTGGGATTACAGGTGCCAGCCACCACCACACCTGGCTAATTTTTGCATTTTTAGTAGGGATGGGGTTTCACCATGTTGGCCAGGTTAGTCTCAGACTCCTGACCTCAGGTGATCTGCCTGCCTCAGCCTCCCAAAGTTCTGGGATTACAAGCATGAGCCACAGCACCCAGCCTTACCAAATATTTAAGAAAAGAATAATGGGAATTGTATACAAGTTCTTCAAGAATATTGAAGAAGATATACTTCTTAAATCATTCTATAAGGCCAATTCTCAATACTAAACTCTAACAAAGATATTATAAGAACATTATAGAACAATATCCCCTGTGATTATAGACACAAAAATGTAAAACAAAATTTTTAGAAAATCAATGCAGAAATACAATTGATATTCATAATTCAGAGATTCCATATTTTCCAATTTGCCTGCTTGCTAAAATGTATTTGTAACACTCAGATCAATAGCTGCAGCATTCTCATGGTCACACGCAGATGGGCACAGAGAGATGAGAGGGATGGGTCTCCTGTGGTGCACATTCGCAGCTTGAGTTTAACAAGCCTACACTCTGCTTTCTTGCTCCAGCTCTCACACTGTAAACAAATGTCCTTTTTGCAGTATTTCATGCCATGTTTTAAACATTTTTGAGCTCTTCTGGGGGCAATTCACTATTTAAAATGGCCCCAAGCTTTCATGCTGAAGGGCTGTCTAGTGTTCTTAAGTTCAGGAAGGCCATGATGTGCTTTACAAAAAATATATGTGTGATAGGATTTCTTCAAGCTGAGCTATAGTGCTGTTGGCTGTTCAATGTTAATGTATTGGTAATAGATATATATACACAAACATATATTAAACAAGATATCTTTAAACAGAAACATACATAAGACGAGGTTTTATGTTGATATGTTAATAAAAATATTTTGGTTATTGTGGTCACCTCTGTGGAACCAGATGTTCTCAGGAAACTAGCCTTGTCTTTCCCCTAAGAGCAATGGTTCAGTGTTCACTAATTCAATGTTTGTGGCAAGTTTATAAAGCATAACTACTCAAATTTATCTAGGTTCAATGCAATCCCAATCAAAATCCCAGAAAGATTTTGTAAATAATGACAAGGTGATTTAAAATTCACATAAAAATATAAAGAACTTAGAATAGTCAAACAGCATTTAAAGTAAAAAAAGAACAAAGTTGAAGACTTATGCTACTTGACTTTAAGGATTATAGCACTACAAAAATCAACATAAACAAATAGATCAATGAGCCAGAAAAAGAGACCAAGAAACAGATCCTCACACACACATATTAACAACTGATTTTCAACAAAGGTGAAAGACAATTTAGTAAAGAAAAGATTGTCTTTTCAACAAATTGGATATCTATATACAAAAATAAAAATAATTTCAGTCTATACTTTGCACCATATAAAATAATCAATTATAAATAGATTACAAATATAAATGTAAGAGCTACAACTACAAACTCCTACAAGAAAACAGGAGGTTTTTTGGTGACCTTGTGTTAGGCAAAGATTTCTTAGATATTGTACAAAAAGCACAACCCTTAAAAAAACTATAAATGTAGCTTCATCAAAGAATCTTTTGTTTTCTGAAATATATTGTTAAGAGAATTAAAAAAATCAAACCCCAAACTGGAAAAAATATTCATAAAGCATATATCTGATGAAAAATCTTATCCAGAATATATTTAGAAACTCTTAAAACTCAACAATAAGAAAACAAACCATAAAAAAATTGACAGAAGATTAAGATGTTTCACCAAAGAATATTATATATATATATATATATATAATCAATAAGCACATGAAAAGTTGTTATTAGGAAAATGCAAATTAAAACTGCAATGAGGTATCATCACACATCTATTAGAATGATTGAATTAGACAGATTTATTTTGTCAAGTATTGGCCAGAACCTGAAGCAACTGTAACTCTCATACACTGCTGGTGGGAATGTAAAATGGCAAGACCACTCTGGAAACAGGTTTGGCAACTTCTTCAAAAGTGTAATAATAATAAAATAAAATAAAATAAAAAAAGTTAGTCATACACTTCTGATCCAAACATTTCACTTCTAGGTTCTTACCCAAAATAAATGAAAGCATATATCCATACAAAGATGTATTCACTATGTTCACAGCAACTTTATTTGTAATAGCCCCAAACTGGAAATAACCCAAATGTCTATGAACAGATGAATACTTCAGCAAAGTTGGCATTTCCATACAATGGAAAATTACTCAACTATAAAAAAACTTAACTATTGATACACTATATGACATTGATGCATTTCAAAATAATTATGATGAGAGAAAAAAAGCCAGATTAAAAAAATACATAGTATATAACTTAATATATATAATATTCTAGAATTTGCAAACTAATTTATAGTGAGAGGGAAAAAAAATTAGTGATTCCCTTGGGATATTGAGGTAAGTCAAAGAGGGGCCAAATACGAGGAATTAAAAAGGGTACAGGGAACCCTTTGGGGTAATGAATATCTTCATTATCTTAACTATGGTGATGGTTTCATGGGTGTATATGTTAAAAGTGTATATGTCAAAAACTTAAACTGAACACTTTAAATATACACAATTTATTTATTTATTGTATGCCAATGCTTTATTATACTTAGATAAAGCTGTTTTTTAAAGTCTATGAGATATGAATAGTTATTCCCAAAGTTAAGTTCATAGACTTAAATCTTTACATTGCTAAGTGAGAAATAATAAACTAATAAAAAATCTTCAGAAATAAGAAAAATAAGAAATAACAAAAAATGAAAAAAAGGAAAAAGTCAATACAGAAGAAGCAAGATTTTAAGAACCAGGAAACAATTAATAATAGAACTGACAAATCTCAGTGCTTGTTCATTATAGATCCCAGGATAGAGTTGCACCAACTGCCCAGGCTCATTAATAAACAAGGTAAGGGAAGGTATAAGCACACAAACTTAGCACTGTGTGCCGGGACATAGCCACAGGTACAAAGAAAGAAGAAGTATGACAGGACACAGTTATTGATTTAAACAGTTATTGATTTGTGCTAATAAATTTGAAAACTTGATTAAATAGGTGATTTTCTAGGAAAATATAAATCACAAAATTTGATTTTATAAGAGATTTTTTTAAAAAACCTAAAGAGACCAATAAAAGCAAAATAAATTGTGAAGATTCCTAAAGTGATATTGCCCAAATTGCCAAGCCCATATTTTTTCCCACTTTCAAAGAAAACATGATTCTGATGATATTTATACGGTTTGGAACTTATAAGGAAGATGGGAAGCATCCAAATTTCTACTATGAATGAACATAACAGTGATTACAATACTTGACAAACAAAATGGAAAAAATAAAACAGAGATTGGTAGTATTAATATCCCCATTTAACAGATGTTGAGAACTTTTTCCAAGTCACATATCCATTTGGAATAGAGTTGGTATTTGAATCCAAGTAAGGTAATTTCCAAACCCTGTTTCTCAACTACTACTCAGTAATAAAAACTAAAAGTATTTCCTGTAAAGTCAGATGAAAGATGGAGACACTTACTTATGCCCCTTGTATTGTCATAAATACTTAGTCAAAGCAATGAAGTGGAAGAAGAG
This sequence comes from Homo sapiens, assembly GCF_000001405.40. Lineage (NCBI taxonomy): Eukaryota > Metazoa > Chordata > Mammalia > Primates > Hominidae > Homo > Homo sapiens. The sequence goes on along the minus strand of NW_025791787.1, from coordinate 328,507 downwards.
ATAAGACTAAAGTGGAAGAAAAAAGGTAATGAGTATAACTGGCTGATGTGACTCTGCGCCTAGAAAATTATGATGGCAGCTAGGCAGTCCAAAGTGGTTGGGCAAAAATAATAATGAGGATGATGGCAATAGGGGTATGATAGAAAACTTGAATAAATGGAAAACATGAGTTCATTATGCTTGGAAAAGAAGGCTTAAAACAATAATTCTGAAATTAGTAATGAATGCAATTCTAAAATTCCCCTGGCAAAATTATTCTAAAATTAACCAGTATAGGATTAGCCTGAAAATTTTTAAAGAAAAAAATGATGTGAGTCTAGTTATATCTGTTAAATACAATATATTATGATGCTAATAACATAGGACAATATAGTGTTGTACAGGAATAGACTGATAGAAAGTGGAACTAGTTCTGTTTTTGCCCAGCACCACAGTCTGCAAGCCCACCACAGTCTGCAAGCACAGTCTGCATGCCAAATGCATGTGAAAACTCCATAGATCAAAAATTGGTGTTTCAAATGAAAGTATACCTGTGTAGAAAAAGATAGCTTGTCATTTGAAAAATCACAAAAATGCTTATTCCTACCTTATTTCAAAAGACATTTCAGATAAATAAAAATATTAACTACAAAAAAAAAAGCCACAAGTGCACTATAAACCAAACAGGTAGATTTGTATAGATTTTTCCAAATTATGGAAATTCTTTCTAAATATGCTATAAATTCCAGACATCACAAAGGAAAAAATTGATTAATAAATTTGACTTTATAAAAATTTTCCAGCCAGGCACGGTGGCTCATGCCTGTAATTCCAGCACGTTGGGAGGCCGAGGTGGGTGGATCACTTGAGGTCAGGAGTTCGAGACCAGCCTGGCCAACATGGTGAAACCCCGTCTCTACTAAAAATACAAAAATTAGCCAGACGCAGTGGTGCGCAACTGTAATCCCAGCTACACGGGAGGCTGAGACATGAGAATCATCTGAACCCGGGAGGCGGAGGTTGCAGTGAGCTGAGATCATGCCACTACACTTCAGCCTGGGTGACAGAGCAAGACTCCATCTCAAAATAATAATAATAATAATAATTGCACAAAGTAACAAAGGAAGTAGACAAATGCCATACTATTTATTAGGAAGTAGAAATTAGTTGTATTTCATACAACAAAGACAGAATTTCTTAATATATAAAATGCTCATACAAATCAATAAGAAAAAGATAAACAATTCTATTGAACATAAACTACAAAGGACTTGAACAAGTAGTTCATAGAAAAAGAAATATCAATGATGGTATACACATGAACAGAGGCTCAACTTCATCACTAATGTTACTGCAAATGTAAACAATGATGAGATTCTATTTCTCGCCTATCAGATTAAAAGTTTAATATTGCCCAGTGTTGGCGAGAATGCGGGTAACATTTTCAATGAATATAAATTGGTGGCCGGGCATGGTGGCTCATGCCTGTAATACCAGCACTTTGGGAGGCCCAGGCAGATGGATCACGAGGTCAGGAATTCGAGACCAGCCTGGCCAACATGGTGAAATGCCGTCTCTACTAAAAATACAAAAATTAGCCGGGTGTGGTGGCAGGCACTTGTAATCCCAGCTACTCAGGAGGCTGTGGCAGAACAATTGCTTGAACCCAGGAGGCAGAGGTTGCAGTGAGCTGAGATCGCGCCACTGCACTCCAGCCTGGGTGACAGAGTGAGACTCTGTCTCAAAAAAGAAAAAAATGTATATCTTACAGAGATACACTATTGGCATGATTGTGCAAACACACACACACACAATTGTGGAACATATGTTAATTTCAGGAGGTATTACGTACTTATTTTCTCTAAATATGAAAATCGGTAGCATTTTGAAATGAAATTGAATATAAGTTGTCTGCATTCTTCTAAAGAAAAGTTTTGTATGTGTTAAAGTAATTTCTTATTTGCGTATAACCTGTTGACAGCTTCACTGGAGACTGGCAACTGTCAACCTCTCATGTGCTAACTAAGAAAACCACCAGAACTTCCTAGTCAGGCACAGAACACTATCTTTTTTTCCTGGGAAAAGAAAGATGCAGCATTTTATAAGTGCTTGCTGAGGGTACCCCAGACACAGGACTGCTTTTGTGAAACACTTGTGGGTATCCAGCAGCAGCTGTGTGGTCCCAGTGCTTGGAAATGAAAACCAGCACCCTCTCAGAGAAGGAGAATCAAATTTGTACTCCAGTAACATGCTGGCTTTCAGCAGCAAAGCCTTAGCTTTTTCTGGGAAGAGAACTCCTCAAGGCTGAGTTGATTACTAAGATAATCTAAGAGATCTGAGTCAGGTAGAGAGCCCCAGACACCCGAAATATGTAGGAAAACAAGAGAAACCTTTGACTATTTAGAGAAATTAAAATAAGCTTTCATTTTGGTTATTACTGTAAAGAAAAATGATTGGTGAAATGTGATACCTACCATTTTCAGAAGAGGTCAAAACAAGGGCCTATGGAATTTGCTGGAAGCCAGTTTTGCTTAGGCCTTGAATCCATGACCAATCATCTCAGGATTGTTGAATTTGTCAAATAAAGCAGGGCTCTGGCATTTGAAATGGATCTTGATCACATTTTCCACAGAATGAATTTCTGCTGTGATGAGCCTTTGTATGCTTCCTGGTAGCCCCGTCCACTGAGGCAGGCAACAGCGGGCTTCCTCGTCGATTATTTGTTAAGGGTGATTCAATGCTGAATGAAACATGACCCTTTTATTCCACATGTGAGGGATTACATCCTCACACACTTACATGATCACTCTCTGGACTCACAGAAACAAATATATGTACTATTACTAAGTTCTAGATTTTTTCATGAACACTGAATTGTTTGCTGACAGTGTCTATGTGAGCTTTGGCTTTGACAGGGCCATGTATCTGCGGTGGCAGATGGGAAGCATTGCAAGATGCAAAGATCTGTAACCCACATAGACCTGTGCTGTCCTGCTCCTGTTTTCAGGACAGTCCCACTGAGCACCCAAGCACCCAATCCAGGGCCCTCTAAGATGGGCTTTTCCTGAGAGGGCAGCAGATGCACAGAACAGAGCAAAGCACCCAGAAATTCTCTCTTTAGACTTCTGTCCTAAAGCCCATTTCTTTACCCTTTCCCTCACCCAAATGGCCCAGAGTCTTCTCCCGCAGCCCACCAGCTGTGTGACTCCCTGTTTTAATCCACAGCATCTGTTATTCTCCCCAAAGACCTCCATGCAATTTTTCATTTAGAATATGTTTTTCCCATCTTCAATTGAGGGTATCCATTTATTTCATTTCTTTGTGAAACAGAGACCTGTAAAGTGGGGAGAAAACAAATATTACCCTATAGATGGTAGGGAAGGGAGAAAGTTATATATGCAATCATTTTAATTTTTTCCCTTCAAAGATTAAAGAATTTCTTGCATCCTTTAATTTTTAAAACACTTGCTACGTGGCAAGTATTGAAAGAGCAAGGTCAACTAAACCATACTTGCTGCCCTTGGGAGATCATGGTTTCTGGTTCTGACAACTCGGATGATGGAAGGAAGGAAGGAAAGAAGGAAGGAAGGAAGGAAGGAAGGAAGGAAGGAAGGAAGGCAGGAAGGCAGGCAGGCAGGCAGGCAGGCAGGCAGGCAGGGAGGGAGGGAGGGAAGGAGGGAGGGAGAAAGGAAGGAGAGAGAAAACGAATTGTTAGTCTAAATGAAGTTGGTTTCTATCCCACTCGGTAGACCCCTAGTTTTCGTGGTTGTGAAAGTGCACACCGTCTTTAGGAAGATGATTCTGTTTGAAGATGCTGCTTCATCTCTCATGAATTTCCACCAAGAGGCTCCCTCCAAGTAGATAATTTTAATTGTAACTTCAGAATTCCTTTTTGAAAACTTTGCTCTAACCTTAAGACAAAAATCCATGTATTCCTACTACCTTGAGCTTTTTGTGCAGTCCTACAGTGTGCTTTCTCAGGAGTTTAGATTGTAAGTTACTTCTAAGTCCACTGAAACAAAAGGACTTCTCCCAAGAAGAAGCTAGAATTTACTTTACTATGACTTTCCAACAAAAGAAGAAACATAAATTTATCTTCTAACCTGCTAGTAAAGAGTTGGCTTATAAAAAGGATTTTAAGGCCTTAGGCAAACAACAGGTTGAAGGTTGCATGCTCATAACACTTGAGCTTTCACTATCTCCTTTCTTTCACATAATTCACAGGGACCAGTGCTTACATTTCTGGGGTAGTTGCCATTTACTCACTCTTGTACTTACATTTTTTTTTGTCAGATCAAGAAGCATAAGTAAGTGACTGGGAAGCATCCTAGACAGGAAGCAACATGAGACCAAGACTGTGCATTGCTCACCATAGTATTCCCAGCTTTGAACGTTCATCCGGGCACCTGTGATGTGTTCAGTAACTATTTTATGCAATGAATAAATAAGAGGAAAAGAATCTGAGATTTCTATTCTCTATTTCCTTGCTTTTCAAAATCTCAACACTCTTCATATCAAGAGAAAGGGAAAAGCTGGTGGGAAAGACATGACATCTTAATCATCTCTAATACAAAAGAAAAAATAGGACTTTCGTCCTTCTTCCATAGCTTCTTAGATACCATCATTAGTGACACAGACTAGCATGGAGAAACTGCACAGGAATGAATTCCATGCTCAATGTTGTGGTTTTAGCCAAGATATTCTGAGTTAGAATTCTCTTCCTGGGTGCCATGATGAAGAAGGGAAGATTTCTACACCTAATTTGTACTGATAAAATGTTGAAGCCTTTAGACTAAAGGAAATGAAAACCGGCTCCCTCTCAGAGAAGGAGGATCAAATTTCTGCAATGCAGAAATCAATAATGGAATCATATATATATATATATATATATGATTATATTATATATAGAATTGCATTATGTATAGAAATATATTTTTTATATATAAAATATGTTTATTATATATTTGTTATATATATAATTCTATAGTCTAAAGGCTTCAACATTTTTTCAGTTCAAATTAGGTATAGAAACTTTCCTTTATTTAGCATATTTTTTATCCTTTCCAGTTTATGATTATATCAATTATTTTCTCAACATACATTGAGAACAATATCAGAGTGTCAGAATTTTTGCTCCAATATCACACATAATTTGGAAAACTCAAGAGGAGGAGGAAATTCTATTGTATTCACCATATTTTTACTCTCCCCATTCACCTTTTTTTTAATGTTTCAAGATTTCTTATTTTTATCATATCCTTTATATTGAAAGAATGTCCGTTACCCATACTTTTAGGGTAGGAGTATTGGTAAAAATTTTGCTTAGTTTTTACTTCATCTGAGAATGATGATTTCTGAAATTCATCTGAGAATGATTGATTTTCCTTTCATCCCCATAAAATATTTTCATTGGATACTGAATGCTTATTGGTAGGGTTTCTTTTCCCAGTACTTTAAAGAAAATTTAAGCCACTTACTTCTGGTCTCCATGGTTTCTGATGAGATATTATCTTTCATTTAAGTGACTTTTCCTCTATAGGTTAAGGTGTCATTCTCTCACACTGCTTTCAAGAATTTTTCTTTGTTTAGGTTCCAGAAATTTGACTACAATGTGTCTTGGTATGGATTTTTTAGATTTGTTCTATTTGGATTTGCACAATAATTTCCACTCTTTCATTTTTAATAAACAATTAAAGAGCATTTTCTGACTTGTGGGGGTATCTTCTCTTCTGCAGTGAACTTTATGTCTCAATTATGAAGTAAACCATATTGGGAATTTGGAAATTCAAAATTTTAAAGCAAATGCAAGTCTCAGAAAAGGGCTATGCTTGTGAGGGAAGATATAAGGCTGAACAAGTGGTCACCATGAAGAGATTTGGGTGAGTTTTGCCATGAGCGCCTGTGGAACATGCAGCGGAGAGAAGAGCAGAGCCCTGTTAGGTGGCTCTCCATACCTTCCTCACATTAGTAGCCATGATGCCACTAAAGAGCCCATTACAGGGTGAAGGTTCAAACAATGTTGAATGAATAAAAGTGAAAATGAGTGGTGAAGAATATTCAGTCTTCAGAAAACTTTCCTGACTTTTGGGATTTTCCAAAGAAAATTAATTTCTTCTGGCTTTGCTTTGTCTTATGTTCTCCCATTTATTTTAGAAAGCACCATGTTTCTTCAAAAAAGTTGAGAACTCCTAACATACAAAAAGAAGTGTTAGCTCACTGCCCTAAAAAGTTGGGATGAGGCCAGAGGACACAGATAATTAGTTATCTAGGGACTGGTGGTTTGGGCTGAGAGGCCATAAAAGGAAGGAAAAAAAGCCAAGTTTGGTATTAATATAAAGAGACTATGACGAAAAGGAAGTGGGAAGCAAGCAATTTAGAGATTGAATAATTGGATTTGGGAAACAAAATTTTGCTCGATGAAAAGTAGGCAAATTGCTCAAGTCTCTTTGTACGTTAATGCAGCTCAAGAATGGTTGACATGGGTGTCACATTAGTTTCTGAAATGAAATATAAAATAAAAATTGAAGCCAAACTACAAGTATATTAAAATAAACTTTTAAGACATTTTTATCAGAGTGATATATGGTTAAAGTATCATTATATAAATAAAAAATATTGTCATATAAAAATCCTGCTTAAACAAATATATCATGTTTCCCAGTAATAACCACACTTCAACATTTTTAGCTATTTCTTAGGGTAGTTACATTTACAACTCTAAGTAGTATGCTTACATTTTTGGTTCATTCAATATTTAGATATTATTTAACTTCTGATAATTGAGAAGCTAGCTCTCTCAAACTACATTTCATCTCCCTTTATCTATCTTGAAGTATAGTCATAACACTACTTTAAGTTAGACAGAGGGCACTTACATTACCCTGCTCTTATGCGACTGTGGTTTACCACAATTTCCTCTTCTTTTGAGTCTGGTTTTCTAGAGGTTTTTTTTTTGTTAATTTGACTTCTTATCAAGCAATGTCTTCCTCTTTAATAGTCTTTATTTTACCTCCAAACTTCATTGTTTCAGGTCCTTCCTGGAATCCTTCCTGGTCTTGGCTGGCTGTTCTCCAGGACTGCTCAACAGCTTCTAAAAGCTCACACATTGCTCTATTTGGTGGATTTGATCTAGTATTTCATTTTAGATAAGTGCAACCTTAAGTAACTTCTGAGGAAAGACTGAATAAGAAGTAAACATTTTGAGTTCTTGCATGCCTGAAATGTCTTCACTCTGTAATCATACTTATTTAATATCTGCTGTGGATATTAGAATTCTACACTCCAAATTATTCTTCCACAGAATTTTGAAGGCATTGCTTTATTGCCTTCCTCATGCAGGCTAATGACATTCTTAGTTATGTTCTGTTAAAGGTGATCTGTTTTTCTCTTGGAGTTTTCAAATTTTTTTTTTTTTTTGAGACGGAGTCTTGCTGTGTGGCCCAGGCTGGAGTGCAGTGGCACGATCTCGGCTCACTGCAATCTCCGCTTCCCAGGTTCATGCCATTCTCCTGCCTCAGCCTCCCAAGTAGCTGGGACTACAGGTGCCCGCCACCACGCCTGGCTAATTTTTTTGTATTTTTAGTAGAGATGGGGTTTCACCGTGTTAGCCAGGATGGTCTGGATCTCCTCATGATCCGCCCGCCTCGGCCTCTCCAAGTGCTGGGATTACAGGCGTGAGCCACCGCACCTGGCCTTAGTTTTTATTTTGCAGTTGTGTCCTGAAATTCCATAATTATGTACCTTGGACTGTTTTTGTTTTTTTAAATTTAATTGTGGTAGACTTTTCAAGGATATGTTCAATCTTGAGATGCATGTACTTCCATTTAGAGAAATTTTTTTGGTAATTTCTTCCCCTTAATCTTTTCCTTTTCACTTCATCTAGAATTTCTGTTTTTTAATGGTTTGACCACCAGATTTATCTTCTAGGTCTTTTGTCTTCTTTATTTGCTGTCTTTTTTCTCTCTTCTAGGAGAATTCCTTCACCTGTAGCTATAAACTGAATATTTGTGCCTGTCCTCAAATTCTGAAATATGTTGAAGCCTGTTATGGCTTGAATGTATCCCTCAAAAGGTATGCATTGGAAACTTAATCCCCAACACAACAATATTAAGTGGTAAGATCTTTAAGAGGTGATCAGACCACAGTTGCTGCCCTTCAGCCAAGACCTGCCTGGAGGGAGATGACATAAGCACATATTATTCCAGCCTTCCTTATTTTTTTTTCTGTGACTCTCTGAACAAAAGCTAGTCTCTCATTTTTTCTAGAATGCAGGGCAAGTAAAATCATTCATTCAGGCAATACGTTGATTAAATATCAACCCTATGTTGGGCATTGTGCTTGGACTGAGAACATCCATCTGGTCTGGAAGGCAGACTATAAAATCATCATTGTGCAACAGAGTAAGAGCCAGACTGGAGTTTTGGTGTTGGTTGGGGGTTCAGTGGATGAACAAAGCAAGTGGGGGATCCCAGGCAGGCATATAATAAAAAATGGGTCCATGGGGATATGAGACAGAGGTTGCTCTTGGGGACTGCAAGTGACTTACAAAGGCTGGCATCATACAGCAGGAAATGAGGCCAGACATTGGGTCTGGGCCTGGCCAGGGAGGCCCTCAGCCTGAAAGGAGGAGGATGGGCTGGCCTTTAGAGAGTCCACACTGGTCCTGCTCTGCTGAGTCCGTTTCTGCAGAGGGGGTGTGCCCACCTTGGGCCTGTACCCCTCCTTCTAGATCATGCTTGTGACACCCCAAAACCCAGAATTCACTGCCCAAACATCCCAAACCCACTTCCTGTAGGTCTCTTCCTGAGGACTGACCAACTGTCCAGTATGTACCCTGGGCTCAAGGGGTAGCTGAGCACAGACATGTGGACAACAGTGTGGTAAGTGTGGTAAGAGCCATACGCAGATTTTGGAAGTTGGGAGTTCAGTGGGTGAACAAAGCAAGTGGGAATCCAGGCAGGTGTCCACACACGTGTGCTCAGAGGTTGGATGTTCAGGCCAGAATATTCACTTGCAAGGACATGAAAACTTGAGTACCTGAGCACAAAGGGTTCTCCTTTGGGCTGGGGGCTGGGCTGAGACCAGAGCTTTAAAATATGCAGAGATATGATATATGGACTATCCATTATCACTTGCCCTGAATGGTTTGTGTGGACCTGGCCCAGGAAGCCATGAGCCACAAAAGAATGCTTGAGCTTCATCCAAGCTAGTGGGAATGGAAGGTGATATGGTTTTAATCTGTGTCCCCACCCAAAACTTATGTTCAATTTTGATCCCCAGTGTTGGAGGTGGGACCCAGTGGGAGGCGACTGGATCATGGGGGCAGTTTCTCATGAATGGATTAGGACCATCGCCTTGGTTCTGTTCTTTTGATAATGAGTGAGTTCTCACGAGTTCTTATTTAAACATCGGCAGCACCTCCCCCACTACTCCTTTTGCTCCTGTTCCAGCCATGCGAAGTGCCTGCTCCCACTTTGCCTTCCTCCATAACTGTAAGCTTCCTGAGGCCTCCCCAGAAGCTGGGCAGATGCCAGCATCATGGTTCCTGTACAGCCTCAGAACCGTGAGCCAATTAAACCTCTTTTATTTATAAATTTCCCAGTCTCAGGTATTTCTTTATAGCAATGCGAGAACAGGCTAATGCAGAAGGGTCTAAGCAAGGAAGAGACAAGATCTTCTGTGAATTTTCAAACTACCCAGGTAATGTTTTGTAGATAGGTGACTGGAGGCAGTACAACGTTGACAGTGATGGAGGGTGTGGTCTGTGAGGGGGGTTCTGGTTCTGGCTCCATCTATCAGTTAGGCAAACTTGGCAAGTTACTTCTCTCTCTAGTTCTCATTTCCCACAACTATAGAGCTGAGGCCATTGAACAAAGTAAATCATCCAGGATAATCTGCAAATGTGAGTTCATATTCTTTTCATTATTATGGAAAGAGTCTTACTTTAGTGAAAAGCCCTAAAAGCAGCCCTGGGAACACATTCCAGCGTGGGCTCCTCTCCTGCTAGAAAGGAAGTGGCCCGTCGGGGAAATGTAACATTCCTCTGAGATTCACCTTGTCCTGCTGGAGTGGAAATGCACAACATTCCAGAACCTGGGAGCCTGGAGGGGAGATCAGGGAAGCTGCAGACCTTCCTCAACATGTGTGCCTGCCTGTCTGTGTGTGCTCTTGGAGGCCCCCTTCGAAGGCTCCATTGTCTGGGTTTATTTTTCTGCCGTATTTCATTCTCAAAACCCCCATCCAGATGAGGCTGTTTAATGGCTTTTGCAGGTCAGTTGCTTTCTGAGAATCTGATATCAGCCAGTGAAGGATTCAAGACTTCCTCAAAATATGATGAGAATAACTGTCTTTGGATTTCCCCTAAGAATTGTGAGGGATTTTTTTTCTCTTATTAACTACAATTTTTTTTAAGCTTTTAAATGGAAAATGGCAGCCTGCATTGTGCTTGGAAAAGGAGGAAGAACCCCCAGATGTTCTTTGTTCTCTTTTTCTGTTTCAACGCATCAAGAGCAGCTCCTTTGGGTGGTTTTCAGGGCATTTCTTCCCCTGGAGAAGGTCTTCTCAGGACGTGGCCTTCCCCTCTACCCACAATCAGTGGAGATGTCCCAGTGGCTACATGGAGCAGTGGATTAGAGCAAACAACCCTTTCCAAATAAAGAAAATCAAAACACTTATTTAGTGCTTACTGTATGTTAGGCATTGTAAACTTATTTTTTCTATAATTCACTTAATTTTCATGCCCTGTGAACAACTCAACTCCTTGAGGCTTCAGTCTCCTCATCTGTAAAAAGAGCAGAGCCCTTTGTTTTTGTGTGTGTGAGGGAATTAAATGAATCACAGCAAAATACGTTTACATTGCCTAACAAGAGCGAGCATAAATAAATGTGTTCATTTTCTCTATGTGGATCCACTTGTTCAGGACTGCTATATTTGAAGGGCGGGCATGCCCCTTCTATATTGCATGTGGCCACCACCCTCCTCAGCAGCACAAACACATGGTTGTTAAGTGGCCAGTGTGTGCCAGGCTCCATACTGGGCACTAAGGGCGCTTGACCACAAAAGGTAGATGAAAATAGATGATGAGTAACTTGGCTGAGTATATATGTAAAAATCCTCCTCCTACAACTATAGTTTATGGAATGCCTGCCTTTTGCCAGGTGCTGAGCAGAGGGCTTGCTTATGTGGTCCACTTAAATAAATACTTATTTTGCACTTATTCTATGCACCAGGCCCAGTTCTGGATGCTAGGACAACTGCTGTGGATAAAGCATGCATCTCCTGTGAACCCCACAGTCCAGTAAGACTGGAGATTCATTTGATCCTCGTAACAACTCTGAGAAGCAGGGGTCATCACCCCATTCCATACTGGAAGAGCCAAGATGAGAAGCATCATCGGCACATCCCGAAGTGCTGGCTTGGGTGCCTAGATGTCGGATGTGGCACTCTACCCATGGTGCTCACAGGGTCTGTAAGCCTGAAAACCCACTTTCTGAGACAAGGTTTTCTCATCTGTGAAATAGAGATAAGAACACTGAGTCAGAATTATAAGGAGACCAGCATGGGAAAATATCAATAAACAAGAGTTTCAGGCTAAGTGTGGTGGCTCATGCCTGTAATCCCAGCACTTTGGGAGGCCAAGGCTAGAGGATCGCTTGAGCCCAGGATTTCAAGAGCAGCCTGGGGAACATAGTGAGACCCTGTCTCTACAAAAAAATACAAAAATTATCCAGGTGTAGTGGCACATACCTGTAGTCCCAGCTACTCATCTACTTGGGAAGCTGAGGTGGGAGGATCGCTTGAGCCCTGGAGGTCAAGGCTGCAGTGAGCCATGATTGTGTCACTGTACTCCAGCCTGGGTGACAGAGAGAGACCCTGTCTCAAAAAAAAAAAAAAAAAAAAAACCCAAGTGTTCCAAAGACCATGATCAAGGTCACAGAACTGCCAAGTGATGGGGGTGGAATACAAAACCCACCCCCCAAGTTCAGAGTCCTTTCTCCAGCCCCACCTGGCTGCACAAACACTGTGTGAGCACAGTGACAATGTCAGTGGCTTCACAGAGAGATTTTAGGGAAAGACGCAGGCCACAGAGACTTAGGGGCCTCCTAGGTGGAGAGACAGGAGATGTGTGCCATGTGGAACAGCAAAGTGAAGAAAGAGCCCAGAGGCATTTGTATGACAAAGAGCCTGGGCCAGGAGGAGGACTGGCTGGAGGGAACAGAAGTCAGGGCTGAGGCTTGGTCAGGGCTTGAGGATGAGAAAGAACCTAGGGAAACAATGCCTGCCAGCCCTGGCCAGACAGGTCCAAGCTCCCCAGATGCCCTCTAGAAGTGGTCAGTGCAGACACAGGAAGTGCCCAGCACATATTTCAACATAAGCATTCCCACTTTGACACCTTTCTTTTCCACAGGGAGAATAAATCCTTGATGTGCCCTGTGCTGCCCCAAGGAAACAGACCTTGGCATAGAGATGGCCCAGAGCCCATGAGCCTTCCTCCTGGGTCATCTCCACTCTGACGGTAGGGAGGAGCCATGTCTGGAGTTGATTTTGAACACCCACTGTGGTTAGTCATTAGACATAGAAGATAGAGAGTCTCTGCCCCAGCCTTGAGGGGAGGGAATTCGGCTTGGACGACCTTCCAAGTGCCCCTTGAGGGCTCTAGGCTGCAGTGCTGACTTCTTCTGTTCTCACAGCTCTCGTAGTAACTGCTGGGGGCATCTCATCCCCTGACACATTCACTGGAGCTGGGTGAATGTAATCTATTAACCCCGGTTGCTGTTGCCATGGAGTGCATACCTCACCCCGTGCCTGTGTGTGGTTTGATGATGCATAAGGTGCTTTCTTATTTACTGTCTCAGTTCATTGTCCTACAGCTTCATGAGAAATATAGAGCCGATGCCACTAAACCTCATCACAGGTACATGGATCTCAGGGTGCCTGGAACTATGGCTAGGGCTGTCATGCCCCAGCAGTAACTGGAGTTTTGTAAGATATTTTTCCTTTGAATAACAATTATATAACACATTGGGAAATGCTAATGAAGAATAAGTAATAATGATCACTCATACTTATAGCTTGTGTGCCTGGCTGTGCTACAGGTGAAAAAGCTTTATTTTCTTTCAATAGGCATTAGCTCCATGAGAAATGTATTAAGACCTCTCATTAATTTGTGAGAAACAGGGAAGTTAAGTCAGTTACTGAATGCCACACAACTCCTAAGGAGTCTAGGCTCAAACTAATGCACATGCATCTACGATGCCGTGGTGGGCCGTGGATTTCAGTCAAAGCCAGCAACACCTGCACCAGCTGTTTCCATGGCCTGCATCAGCCCAGAATGTGCACAAACAGACGCTGTCACCCCCAGTTTCAGCAAGAACAAGGGCTGGGCTATATCATTTTATGAGAGAAAATGGCTGGCACAGATTCAAGCTCATGAACTCGATTGATAAATGGCCTTACAAGCCCTGCATTAACTGATGGCCATGAGCTGATAGCCAGTCCTTCTGGGTTTGGATTAAACAAAAATTGCCAAGGTCTGCATTTCATCAGCACTTTAAAAAAAATCTGACATGGGGTACAGAAAGAGATTATTTTGCTGAGTATTTTGCAATACCAAGGGAATTAAATCCCTTATTTTTATTTTTTTTTTTAATTAGGCTGTCCCGGACTGTCAGGTTTTATAAAAACAGCACATTTGTGACGGCATAGGTCCAGATCCAAAGTTTCTTGTCTGTTACTTTCTTTCCCTGGGGAACAATGGTCTCTTGGATAATATTCCAGAATGATAACAGTCACAAGCAGTTTCTGAAATCGCTTGGGAAAAACAGAAAGAGGAGACGTTTACTGCTTGTGGCAGCCTTTTCCTTTCTCCGTCTTTTTTTGCTTTAGTTCCAAGTTGTACAGAGCCCCTGAAGATCCCCCCTCTCAGTCCCCTTCCCACTCAGCAGATGCCCTGGATTTCAGGCTCCATAAGGTGCCCAAGGGCAGATCAGGATGCAGTTCCACTATGTCCTGAAATGATGTAAACCCACGTCGCCTGCAGCAAGAATGGTGCCTTTCATGACGAGGCATCCCTGTGCGCCTGGCAACCTCAGACTGTGCCGGCCACTGGCAGGCCTCCCACGGCATCAGGAATTTGAGAGTGATGCTCCTTCACCACCTTCCCTCCTGGGAGGTCAGTCCCTCGCTCCTGAACTAGGTCTATCCTCCTGTAGGATTTTGAATCCTGCCCTTTCCTACCTCTTTCCTCCTGTTTCTGTAAACCCATCCACATCCACCTCCAGGGCCCCCCAGCCCCCATCCTCAGCACATGCATCCGCATGCATATCTCAACTCCATTTGTGACAATGATCCTGTCTCTACTGTTGCCCTTGGAAGCCTGCACTGCTCACCACTGTCCTCATGGATATTCTGGCCCTGCTCTTCCACGCCACCTCTTCTGCAGGATGAGAGACTGGGTGCTCTTCCAGGTGCTCAAGGAGGGGGCCACAGCTATTCAGGAGCACGCAGAGATGCACCCAGGGCAAGTGAGGGCAGCGCCCTCTCAGTGCCCCACCAGGGTCCCTCCCTTCAGGCACCCTTGCCTACTGCCTGCGGGGTTGGAATCAGTGCACTGAGCCTCCTCGCTTCTCTTCCAAACCAACAGTCTCATGGCTTTGGACTCGGGCCTCAGTATGGCCTCTAGACAGTCTCCTGGCCTGGGTACCATTCCTTTACGGGGACCTTCATGCACCCACTTGCTGAAAAGAGGAGATACAGTTCTGAGGAGCCTCCGTCCATGTACGCTGCCGCTGTCCCCTCACCTCTGGGCCTCTGTCCCTACGTACATGCTTTGCACAAATGCTGTCTCTGTCACCTGCCTGAAATCTGTGCTGCCCATGTGTGTGCGGCCCCAAGCCCCTCTATCTGCCCACTGAGATGGTCTCTCTGACTCTGGAAAAGAACCCAGGCCTCCTGGCCCTCTCCCTTGTTCTAAGGACCTTCGGGTCCCCTTTGTTAGCTCCCTGGCCATCACTGTCACAGCAAGAGCTGTTCTGGAATCCCCTAAATTCACCTGTCCATCTTCCCCTGACTGGGAGCTCAAACCACAGCCTCAAGCAGTACTTCCCTGTGCTCCAGCACACAGGAGCCTGGACCACAGGAGGGCTGGGTGCAGGACACATTTGCTGAGTGAATGAAGGAGGGAGTATGTTTTCATAAGCATACTCATGCAATATGTGTGGTTTTTATCTTTGACAGTGGGGGAAAGAGTTATTTCCCTCTTAGATTGCAGTTCCCAAATCCTTATTTTGTCCACAAATATTTTTCTGAAAACCAAAGTAACCACAGCATATAACCTAACCAATATTTCACAGTTCTTTGCTCTTATTGTTTGACTAGTAGGAAATGTAGAAAGAGAATAAGAGGTGTGTCCAAGCCCTGATCTGCTTCTCTGCTGGGAATTAGACTGCATCTGATTCTCAGGGGCTGGGATGAGCATGAGGAGCCTGAGACCAGAGCTCGCAGTTTCCTGCCCAGCTGATCATCTTTATTCCTGAAAAGGACTGGTTTGTTTTGTTTTGTTGGTTTTTGGTACTTGTAGGCTCTTAATTACATACATGTCTCATGGTTTTTCATCCTACACTCTTTATTTCCAAAGAGCATGGTGGCTTGGGTGGGTGGCTTATAAACAGCAATTCATTTCTCATAGCTAGAGGCCGGAAGTCCATGATCAAGGCACCAGCAGATTATGTGACTGGTAAGGGCTCAGTTTCTGGTTCATAGATGGCACCTTGGTGTCTCCTCACATGGTGGAAGGTACCAGCTAGCTGTCTGAGGTTTCCTTTACAAAGGCACTAATCCCATTCATGAGGGATCCACCCTTATTGCCTAATCACCTCCCAAAGATCCCACTTCCTAATACCATCCCCTTGGAGGTTAGGATTTCAACATACAAATTTGGTGGGAACACAAACATTTGGTCTACAGCATTCTGTTCCCGGCCTCTCAAATTATGCCCTTCTCACATGCAAAATATATTCATTCCATCCAAATAGCCCCTAAAGTCTTCACTCTTTCTAGCATCAGCTCAAAAGTATAAAGTCCAGAGTCTTAGGCCAGGCACAGTTGTTCACACCTGTACTTCCAGCACTTTGGGAGGTGGATTACTTGAGCCCAAGAGTTTGATCCCAGCCTGGGCAACATAGCAAGACCGCATCACTACAAAAAAATATGAAAATTAGTCAGGCACGGTGGCATACACCTGTAGTTCCAGCTACTCAGTAGGCTGGGCTGGGAGGTTTCCTTGAGCCCGGGAGGTGAAGGCAGCAGTGAGCTGTGATTGCACCACTGCACTCCAGCCTGGGAAACAGAGCAAAATCCTGTCTCAAAAAAACAAAAACAAAATAAAGCCCAGCGTCTCATCTAAAACAGGTATGGGTGAGACTCCAGGTACAATGCATCCTGAGGTAATTTCCCCTCTAACTGTGAGCCTCTGAAATCAAACATGTTATGTGCTTCCAAATTACAACGGTGAAACAGGCATAGGACGGACATTCTCATTCCAAAAGGGAGAACTAGGAAAGAAGAAAGGGATAACTGGTCCCAAGTAAATCTAAAACCGTAAAGCCTCAGAATCATCTTTGGCTGGAAGTTCTGCCATGTAAGCCCACTAGGGCAGTGGGCTTGCCCCTGAGTCTATTCTCTGCCATGGCCCCACCTCTATAGTAGCTCTGTGCCTGGGTAACGCCCCCAGCTCTCCTCGCCTGGAATCATGCTTCTGTGGCTCTTCTAGTACAGGGTCTCAGGAACAGCCCACCTCCATGGCTCTGCTGGGGTCTCTGGGGTGGCCTGACCTCTGCAGCAGGTCTCTGCCTTGGCCCTGTGGCTTTTGGGGGCATCCTTTAAAATCTAAGTGGAAACAGTGATGTTCCCTCAGCTTTGCCAGGCACCAGGCACACTATTTTGAGGCTCAACAGCTGCGCTGAAATGAAATGAAGTAAGAAGAGCCCGCAATATGAGGTAGCACTGGGCAACAGTGGCCTTCTTTCTCCACCCAGGCCTTTGCACTCTAAGACTGTGATGGGAAGGGCAGCCCCAATGATCTCCACCTTTAGGTCATCTTCCATTGTCTGGATAAATAGTACCTGGCTTCCCTTGAGATGCCAACTCATACAAATCTCTTTATCAAACAGTAGCTTGGCCACACCTTTACTGTTCTCTCCTGAACATGCTTTTTCATTCTCTACAATATGGATAGGCTGAGAATTTTCCGCAATTTTTAGTTCTGTTTCCTTTTTGATCAACATTGTCTTTAAGCCATTTCTCTCTTCTCACACTTTACTATAAGTACTCAAGAGAAGCCAAGCCATGCCTTCAACATCTTCTGTAGAAATTTCGTAATATTCAAATTTTGAAACCAAATATCCAATTTCATCACTCACAAGTTCTACCTTTTACAAAAACCTAGAACAACAACACAATTCAGCAAAGTTCTTCGCCACTTTATAACAAGGATGGCCTTTCCTCCACGGTCCAATCATGTGTCTCTCATTTCCATCTGACCTCATCAGAATGGCCTTTACTGTTCATATTTCTACCAGCATTCTGTTATCAAACACTTAAGTGTTTTCCTGGAAGACAGAAGATTCCCCACAGCTCTTCTCTTCTCCCTCTGATCCCTCACAAGAATCACCCTTACTGCTCCATCCATTGGCTTTTCTTAGCTAGAACTTTAAAATTCTTCCAGTCTCTATGCATTACTGAGTTACAGGGCCACTTCCACACTTGCAGGTATTTGGTACAGGAGTCCCCACTCCTTGGTACTAATTTTCTGTCTTAGTTCATCCAAGCTGCTATAACAAAATGCCATAGGCTGGCTTGTTTATGAACAACAGAAATGTATTTCTCACAGTTCTGGAGGCAGGAAAGTCCAAGATCAAGGGGCTGATAGAGTCCATGTCTGGTGAGGATCCCTTCCTCATAGATGGCACCTTCTTACCGTGGCCTCAAATGATGGAAGAGGTGCAGGGTCTCTCTGGGGTCTCTTTTATAGAGCCATTAATCTCATTCATGAGGGTGCCACCTTCATGACCTAATCACCTCCCAAAGGCCCCACCTCCTTATACTGTCACCTTGGGTTTAGGATTTCAACAGATGAATTTGGGTGAATTTGGGGGGACACAAACCTTCAGTCCACAGCAACCTTCCTTGAGAATATCCACTCACAGTATAACAAGAAAAAGGCTCTAGAGCCAGTCTCACAGCACCTAGGGGTCACGGGCCTTGAATCTCAGATTCTACCCCTCCCTAGCCTCATTTTTCAAATGGCCCCTCACCAGCCTGTGCGGTTCTGATCTCCCCGCCTGGTGTCTATAGGATCCAGGCAGCCCACAAAGACTGGAGTCTTTGTTCCTCCCTCTTTCCCTGCCCAGATCTGGGGATCCAGCTTCAGGCAACCTTTGCTGCCCCTGGAGACCACCCTTGTGATGGCATCAGTTCAGGGGACCACCTTGCCACTCCCACTCTCAGGGCCACTCTACTACCACCCCACAGTGGCCCCTCCAGAGGGACCCTTGGCCCACTTTGGTCCCACTATGTCAAGGGGACACAGCATGGCTTCAGAGTCCCTTGGTTCTTGGTCCAAGCTGAAGCACTATGGGGGCTGTGATGTGGCTGAACCCAGCTGGCATGTGGGCAGCTGACCAGCAGTGATAGGCATCCCCAAAGCCCTCTGACCCCAGCATTGTCCTTACTCAAGCTCATCTGAACCAGAGTGAGCTCTACGTGAGCATCTCCTCCTCCCCCTGTCTCTCCTTCTCTCTTCCCTCTGCCCACCTATCCCTTCTACCTCCTCTCACTTCTCCCAGCAGACACAAAGGCCAGGCTGCCAAAGGGTGAGGGCAACTTCTCAAACTCTTAAAAGTAACTCAATGATCTGGTTTCAATAGGCTTTGTCCTTGATACAGTAAAGAAATTTAGAAAACATTATTTCTTTTGATAAACCTAAGAATTGGCGTCAGTAGACTTGGTGTCAATTCCTATGGGAAGCTATAATCTGCACACCCATACACACAATCCCAAGCAAGTAGGTGCCTAGTATGACCAGGGGAAGTTCATGAACTCAGGAGTGAGAATGAAAAATGCATATCAAAAACCCTACATGATTCATATTCTCTAGACTATTGGCTCCTGGAACACAGGGGTCTCTGTCCACAGTCACCTGGGCTTAAGGAGGGACACGGGGTGGCCACTGCTCTGAAACAGAGTCTTCTCACACAGGAAAGGGGACTTAGAGGAGAAGGGGCTCACACCAGGGGCTCAGTTGAAGCCATTGCCACATCTGCTATTACTACCATGGTCATATGTCAAAGAAATGAATGAATATCAGTTCGCAGCACAGCCATTTAATTCCAAAATATTTGTAGCTCGCTTTATGCTATGATTAATATAAGGAGAGCTAAGTGGCAATCTCAGTTCCTTGGAAGACTATCAAAATTCAATTTTGTTGATCTATGGTAATAGAGGAAAGCCAGAGAGACTGATAATTGACACTTGACTCATTGTGTAATATATGGCAGGCTAAACTCGTATATTTCAAACCCACTTATGCACACTTATGCACACACTGCATACACACACAGACACTCACACACCACATGCCCAACACACATGGTTCCTGTCACTCCCTGTGTGAAATTTTCTTCTCCGCTCCCTCAGCCAGTTTCTCTCCTTGTTTCTCCCCCTAAGAACAACTCTAAGCCCTTGAAATGGCAGAAGAAGCCACCACAGGACTCTGAAAGGGAGAAAGAGGAGGGCAAACTGATCAGCAACCCCAGGACTAGAGGAACAAAATAGCGCCAGAGAGTCCTACACCCCTGACCCCAACAACAGAAGGTGACCCAGACCCTGCATTCCTTGAGCCCCCAGCCTAGCAATGAAGGCCAACCTGGGCAGGCTCCTCCCTGCCCCAGATCAAAGAAGAGTCCTGCTGACAACACCAGAGAGCCTGGCAGCAGGCGTGGGGGTCTGGCTCTCTCTGAAGGAACATGCTCCTTCACCACTGGCCCTGAGCTCACCTCTCCCAGCTAGAGGCTTTGGCAGCTGGGCAGCACTAGGAGGTCCCTCCCAGCTCATGCCTCAGCTAGAGAGGTACTCTAACCCCTTAGTGCTGGAGAATCCCTTCCTCCACCAAGAGACACTGGGACATTGGGTGGCATGGACAGGGCAATCTTTGCCCAGCAGGAAGCATGGGCTGGATAATGCTCTTTGGCCCTTAGAGACACTGGGCAGCTGAGAGAACTCACAGGGGCTGTCTGCAACAACAGTAGCCCCATCCAAGCAGCACATTTTGTTCCTGAAGTCCAACGAGGTCTTCTCCCAACCAGAGTCACAGAGAGGCCACACAGTTCCATAGGGATGACCCCACAACCATGAGCACCAGCATGGGATTGAAACCACAGCATACAAAAGCAGGCCAGGCCACCTGCTAACCCTAAGCCTGGCAACAGCCTCCTAAAATGAAGAGTCTCATAGGACCCAGAGTCTAAAAATGCAATAGGCAAAATGTTCTCAATATTATTTTTGCTGTTAAAAGTAATGGCAAAAACCGCAATTACTTTTGCACCAACCTAATACAATAAGAAGTCACCCATTATACCAAGAACCAAGAAAATCACAACTTGAATGAGAGATAATCAACTGATGCCAGCACTAAGATGAAGCAGATGTTGGAACTGTCTGACAAGAATTTAAAAGCAGCTGCCATAAAAATGATTCAACAAGCAACTACAAATTCCCTTGATAAAATTTAAAAATAGACAATCTCAGAAAGAAACAGAAATTTTAAAAAGAATGAAATGGAAATTATAGAACTGATAACCGCAATAACAGTAATTTTTTTTAAAACTTGCTAAATGGGCCTATAGTAGAGTGGATATGAGAAATATAGAATGAATAAATATGAAGACAGATCAATAGAATTTATCAAATCTGAAAAACAAGAAAAATAGACACATTTCAATATAAACTTACCAAAACATATATAGAATCTGTATACTAAAAAATTACAAAATGCTGATTAAACAAATCAAAAAAGTACTATATAAATGAAAAGACATACTATGTTCATGAATTGGGAGATTAAACATAATAAAGATAATTTTTTCCTATATAGGTTTAATACAATTTCTCTAAGTGTCCCAGCAAGGTTTTTTTTTTTTTTGTAGCCATTGGCAAGCTTATTATAAAATTAGATGGATAGAATGGATAAAGAAAATGTGACACATATACACCATGGAATACTATGCAGCCATAAAGAAGGATGAGTTCATGTCCTTTGCAGGACATGGATAAAGCTGGAAACCATCATTCTCAGCAAACTAACACAAGAACAGAAAACCAAACACTGCATGTTCTCACTCATAAGTGGGAGTTGAACAGTGAGAACACATGGCCACAGGGAGGGGACCATCACACACCGGGGCCTGTCGGGGGTTGGGGGGATAGGGGAGGGATAGCATGAGGAGAAATACCTAATGTAGATGACGGGTTGATGCGTGCAGCAAACCACCACGGCATGTGTATATCTATGTAACAAACCTGCACGTTCTGTACATGTATCCTAGAACTTAAAGTATAGTAATAAAAAAATAAAAAATAAATTATATGGAAAAATACATGTGCTAGAATACCTAAAACAATTTGAAGAAGAACGAAGTATAAGCCATCACTCTACCCAATATCAAGACTTTCTCTATTAAGCTAAAGTAATGAAGACAGTGTCATATCAATGAAGAGATAGATACACAGATAAACTGAGCAGAAGACAGAGTTAGAAATAAGCTTGTTTGTGTATATCATGTCAGTTATCAATTTATTGCCTCTCAGCTCCAAAGAACACTTCCGTATGTGCTGTATGATAAATCCCAGAGTTCCATTAAGCTTTTCTCCTATGTCCCATGCTATGCTTTCTTAGTACAGAGTGCTGGAGGGACTTTGCAGAAGGATAAGGGTTTTGACATTTCTAATCTTGGCTGTGGGTAGGATTAGCTGTGTGGGGACATCTGATAGAGGCTGCCCCAAGCCACAAGCCACAGAACACAATGCCCTTGTCACCTGGCAGCTGTGGCCTGGTCATAACCTATCCACTGACTCCTCCACATGGAAACGAAAGCCCCCAGGTGGCCTGCATACCTTGGCATACCTTTACCATGAAACATTCCTCAGCAGTAAAAAAGAAATTAAGCATTGAAACACACCACAACTCTGATGAATCTCATGGGAATTATACTGATTGAAAGTCAATTGTAAAAGGCTACATACTTTATGGTTTCTCTTGTATGACATTTTTGAAATAACAGAACTATAAGATGGGGGTACTAATTAGTGATTGCTGGAGTTAGGGATGGGCATAGGGAGAAAGGTAGAAGTGGCTACCTTTCTGCCCTGGAAGGACTAGACTTCCACAAGAATCTTGCATGTTGTCCTCCTACAACCTGTTTTGTTGAATTAAAACAAAACAATATTGTTAAATCCCAAATCAGATGTTCCTTGTTTCAGGCTTGATAAATTGCACAGTGGAATAGGTCAACTCCTCAGGAATCTTGGAACCTCATCCATGTTAGGAATGGGAGACTCATTCACTGAATGGAAATGTACACATTTTAGGTGCCAAAATGCAGACCCAACCCTCACTGCTGCATAATGCACAAGTGGAGGCTGAGTTTGAGAAGACTCCAAGCCAGTTGACTGCAATTAAAGATTCTACTTTCTCCTATACTGCTAATTAGGACCCGCTTCATGATGCAAAAGGAAAGAGCCTTCGTTCACAATTATTTAGAATTTGAAGATGGTGACAGGAGAGCATTAAGCCAAGCACAGGGCCCTTCTGACAGTGGAGACCTGTGTACCTGCCTGGGTTGCTTGCCCATGAAGCTGCTCTTATTTGTTCTCTGTTCTTGGTGCTAATTTTTATCACATAAGAAAGTTGTTGTCTTTACTAACTTTATTTTACCCCAGGAATTGTTCAACACCATTGCAGCATGGGGAAGAACGGTGCCCACCGGCCCTGGAAGGACCAGACTCCCATGGGAGGAAGTGGAGTGGATGCCTCCCACCTTAACCTTGGTGCCGCTGGCATCTGCATCCATCTTGCAGAGCATCTGGAGTCTGTCTTGTTTAACTTGGCTTCTGACCCAAAGAGCTCAATTTCCTGCATTTCAGACCACAAAGGAATCCTGATGAGTCCCCATGGAGGACTCGTAATGTGATAATAGGGAAATCTGAATAAGACGAATGAATTGTATCAATTCACCCATAGAATGCCATCCACAGAGGGAGGCCGTCTACAGAGGGATGCCATCTCGTAGACCCTTGGACAGCCTCCCTCCGTGGTCAGCATTCCTGGGGAGTTGTGATCACCTAGCTGGTATTAGCTCTCTCTGCCCAGGAGTCCCCTGGGGCTGCCTTCTACAAACTGCAATTGTGCTCTGAGCAGACTCGCAGGCCAGGCTTGCACTAGGCAACGTTAGGCAACTTCTGCCCTTCCATTCTTTGTGTTGCTGCAGTTCTGTAGGTAGATGGGGGAAAGCACACACTCAAAAGAGAAGGC
The DNA here is from genome assembly GCF_000001405.40 of Homo sapiens. Lineage (NCBI taxonomy): Eukaryota > Metazoa > Chordata > Mammalia > Primates > Hominidae > Homo > Homo sapiens. Next base: position 304,944 of record NW_025791787.1, on the reverse strand, counting down.
AGGACCTGTCATTTGCACTCAAGATTGGCACAGTGACAGTGTTGCAGGATTACAGCACATGTGAGACATTCCCTATGGCTCTCCCAGGGCTAGCGGGGGTGTGCGGCAAGAACACAGCAGGAGTTTGCTGGAAAACAGCAACCGCAATGCTTTTTTTCCACTTTAAATTTTACCTGGGAGAAAAAAATGTTTCAGAGGAGATAATAAATTTTATTTAAGTAATTAAAGACGGGGCCATCTAGTATACAAGAAAGAAAATTATATTTGAAAAATAGAAATAAAATTATATTTGAAAACTACAATAATTTAAAACTGTGACCATGGCTCAGAAATGGATAGACAGATGAGTAAGACAGATCATACATTTCAGGAACAGATCTAAGCATATATAAAAATTTAATGTAGGAGAAAGGGAGCATGTAAACTTTTGTTTTTATAAAAAATGGTAACTGCGCTAATCATTTGAGAAAAATATTAAAGACCTTATGCCATACAAATAAATGGATGTAAGACAATTATTTTTAAAAAACATAAAAGTAATGAAAGAAAATATAGGTGAGCCTGTAGATACATCTCGATGTGAAAAGGGCCCTCTACATAGGGCCTCAAGGCAGAGACCACAAGGATAAAAAATAAGGGATCTGACCTCTCTCCTTCCACCCAAAACATAACAAATAAGAAAATACAGTGTTAGATTAAACACCCCTAACAAACTAGAGAGATGGATGACAAAAAAGAACCATATTTTTCACTCTGTATGATGAAGATTTTATACCTTAAATCTTAAAGCCTAATACTGAGACACTAAAGGAATTGGGCAAAGAATACCAAAGGATGATTCACATGCAAAAATGCAAATTAAAACCGAGGAGCTGATATCTTCCACCGTGCAACCTGAAAGGCTTTTTTTTTTTTTTTGAGTCTCACTCAGTCGCCCAGGCTAGAGTGCAGCGGCGCCATCTCGGCTCAGTGTGACCTCTGCCTCCCAGGTTCAAGTGATTCTCCTGCCTCAGCCTCCCAGTAGCTGGGATTACACGCACCCACCACCAGGCCTGGCTAATTTTCTTGAATGTTTAGTAGAGACTGGGTTTCACCATGTTGGCCAGGCTGGTCTCGAACCCCTGACCTCAAATGATTTGCCCACCTAGGCCTCCCGAAGTGCTGGGATTACAGGCTTGAGCCACCACACTTGGCACCTGGCAAGGCTATTTTATGTTGGTACTACCCAAGCAAACATCTATCAGTAGTAGGTTAGATAAATAAGGGAGGAATAATTTGAAAGTCCAAAATGAAGAGATTGGTTGAAAAAGTTTTGTTACATTCAAAGTAATGGAATCCCAGAAGGCCATTAACAATGATGTTGTAGGAGTGTGTTAATGATACAGAAAGATGTTGAAAATGTCAGGTTTCTTGAACTAACAGGCTTTGAAATCACGATTCTGTTTTTAAGTAGAGTGTATTGAAAACATTACATGTAAAATCAAAAAATTATTGGAATGACTGACATTAAAGCATTTAAAGTGGTTATTCCTGAATGGGGTAGTTTAGATAGTTTTAACTTTTTATCTATTTGTATTTACTATAAATACAATTTTTCCTTAAATTTCATTATAATAAATAAATAAATATAAATAAATTTCCTTATAATTTTCGTGTGTGAGAAGGAGAGAACAAAATTCTTATTTCAAAGAAAAATAGAGTCAACACTGCATCATCAGCTGGAGAAGAGCTGAGCTACCTTTGGTACTTCTGGTACACCTGGTATCCCTGCTACACCTGGTCCCCTGGCACACCTGGTGCCTTGTACATCTGGTACCCCTGATGTGAATAGTCCCTGGGCACACCTGGTACCCATAGCACACTTGGTCCTGTGGCACACCTGGTCCCTGGATGCACCTGGTACGCATGGCACACTTGGTTCTCTGGCATACCTGGTCCCTGGCACACCTTGTTCCTGGCACACCTGGTCTCCTGGCACAACTGGCACCCTTGGCACGTCTGATCCCTCCGGCACACCTGGTACTCTGGCACACCCTAGTACACCTGATATACCTGAAGCAAAGGAGTTGGCCTGTGACATTGCCCACTCAAAAAGTGAGCTGTTGGAGCACATAGATTACCTGGCCCCAGGGGAATCCCAACTTGAAAAGCCCTGGATCTGGATCCTGTCCATCCTTCTCCTTTCAGACTCAGTTGTTGTCTACACTGTTCCAGAGCAGGGACCATCACAGTGACCGATGCAGAGACCAACACAGCAGGAAATTCCACAGTAGACCACACTCCATGAAGATGGAGTGTCTGCCTCAACCCAACCCAGGGACTGACCACAGGGAGCCGGCAAGAGAGTCAGTCATCAGTCATGATGCACGGCGCTCTACCGAGGAGTCAAAGGCAGGAAATGAGAATAGACTGGAGGTCGGTGAAGCGCTTTGTCAGTGGCCAGGAAAGCAACAACCAGCTCCCACGCAAGGCTCTGGGACAACTTGAGCTCCTGCCTCACTCTCTCCAGGCCTCCCCTACACTACTTGTATTTTGGGACCAGCATGCTCGGAATATCTGGTATGACGAAGATGGGGCAGAGAGAGTGAGAGAAAGAGAGACCCAGGCCTAAATTTCTCCACTCGTTACAGGTGTGGAAAGTGAAGGAGGCTGCCCAGGAGATGTTTCATGAGTTCTGACTTTATGGCACATCACCTGGGAGGCGATAGCAGATGGCCCAGTACTAGTCCCAGCTTTGGAGCAGGCAGATCAGAAATGCCCTTCCCCCGGGATACCTAGGAAGAAGATGGGCCAGGAAGGCTGCAGAGTCCTTTCTCCCCTAAGTGACCTGCTGGAAATGCTCAGCAATTCTTGTTAGAACAACAGATCTCGTGCACATCCATAGAAACATGCATTTGTGCAAACAGAATCCCTTCTGCTTTGGTGCACAACCTTTTGCACAAATTCACGCTTTTGAGCAGACACTCCGCTTCTGGGGCAGGAGTACGTCACTGTATCAGTCTTTCATTTTCTCTTCTGGCATCTGAATACTCTCATTTCTTCTTAATTTTCCACCAGTTTTTCCTCTCGTTTGCTACTGATCTGCCTGGCTCTCCTTTATACCGCATCTGAGCACCCTGCACATGCCTCTTGAAAGTGAATGAGTGCCTTAATTGGAAAATGCTCTCTCATTCACCACAGGGAAGAGAAGAATACTCCAGCTAATAATGTCTTTTCCACAGAGCCCTCGACCAAATGACTCTCTCTGTTTTAATTGAGAGCCAAAGCTTTTGAAAATGAATATGTATCTTCAGGGATGGATAAAGAATGCAGTTTGATCTTATGGAAATGTCACGTTGGGATGTGAAGGTGATGGATTGTTCAAGAATCAACCAAAGAGGACAGCTCTGGCCCAGGCTGCTGAGGGACAACCGAGCTCAGATGATGCCCCCAGAGAGCAGTGGGATAACTGGGGAGGGACCACATGGTGGTTGCCAATGAGTCTCGATAGGTAGAAAAAAGGACTGAAATGAAGGCAGCAGCTAAGGACAAGGTGACAGTCTGTGACTTTGAATGGCATGCTATTTCCAACAAGCATCCCAAAGCAGAAATAAACATGGTTGGAAGGGGAGTGCAGAACATGAAATATCTACTGAGAGCTGAGGGCCACACCAGGGTGGTTAGGAGGGGAAAGAAGAAGAAACTTCAGGAATAAAAGCATTTTAAGTCTCTTAGCAACTGCCTATAGATGGAGACACGCTGGGTGGAGGCTGTCACAGGGCTTCTTGCGGGGTGTCCACCCCTCTGTTGGCCTCCTTGGACACCACTGCCCTGAAAAGGAGGGGAAAGTGCATTTCTCAAGCTGAAGCCCTGGCCAGGGCCTCTAATTTTACTTCCATGAGTGTGCCCTGATTGATTTTGAAAGGGAGGAGGTGGATCATAAAAAAACACAGCCCACAGCCGAGCCATAATCAGCTGCAGCTGCTGCTGGGATAGAGTCCTGACAGGCAAATGGCATCATGATGGAGCATTCCTTGGGACTGGCAACATTCGGCTGCCAGTGTGGGGGCAGGGAGGCAGTCTATTATTAGGAACATGCCTGAGATGTGAGTTTGCAGAATTCATTGCTCTACATTAAAATCACTTTTGCAGGGAACAAACTCTGGAGATGGTGGAGGTACGTAGACTTCCTCTCAGCTTGAAAGATGTATCAAACTTTAAGAGGGGCTTGGACCACCCATTTGCAAATTGCTTTTTCATGCAGTTAATTTTATTTATTTTTCATCCAAATCTTAAAGCAGACCCCTCCTTTAAAAGTGTATGGCCAGCCGCGCTGGCTCATGCCTGTAATCCCAGCACTTTGAAAGGCCAAGATGGGTGGATCACCTGAAGTCAGGAATTGGAGACCAGCCTGACCAATGTGGTGAAACCCTGTCTCTACTAAAAATACAAAAATTAGCCAGGTGTTGTGGCGGGCACCTGTAATCCCAGCTACTCGGGAAGCTGAGGCAAGAGAATTGCTTGAACCCAGGAGTTGGAGGTTGCACTGAGCCAAGATCATGCCATTGCACTCCATCCTGGGCAACAAGAGTGAAACTCCAGCTCAAAAAAAAAAAAAAAAAAAAAGTATATGGCCAATAGATCAACAGAAAGTGCCCTAAAGTAAAGGACTGTTTACATAAATGACTAAGGCACATAGGGACCCTGGAGGCTCTGACCTTGACCTGGGTCTGAGTGGGGAAACCCCACACGCTCATTTCTTAGCGTTTCTGCACGCATGTTTTGCTTATTAAAGAGAATTATAAATCCCATGCTTTCTAAATCTTTTGATGGAAAGCAATTTTCTTCCCAGAGATGAAAAGATGTTAACATGAAGGCGCTGCTTGGAAAACAGGGCACAGGACTGGCTGCATTTCAAACGAGGTGCCGGAGCTTATGCAACATTTACAACGGAATTCATTAAAAATTGGTTTTGCTCTCTGAGGACCTGTTGGAGCATCTAGGCCTCATGTGGGGGAGGCTGGGAGACTCTGTGAAAAGGATTATTTGGAGGGTGTATCGAAGCCCCCTGTAGGTGTGGAAGGTGTTTTCCCTTTTAGCTCAAGTCAAGAGCTCATCCTGCCCGCTTCCGTGTGAGGAACTGCTTCCTGTGGCTGTTAAGATCATGGGGAATGGGAGACCCACTGTGCTGGGAGTGATGCCCTGTCAGAGCCGGCTGCAGCTCAGGGTGCAGGAGGCCTGATGGGATGTGGGCCTGGTGTGGGAGGTAGCAGCATCAAAGGCCAGCTCAGCTCCCTCCACCTCTGGCTCCCTGAGTAAGCGACCCGCAGAAGTGAACCCGACTGCAGGTGAAGGGGCTGCGGTCACAGACCCTCCCCGCCCACCCAGTGAGAGGGGAGCTTGGCAAGCCAGAATGCACTATGAGAGGGTCAGCAGGAGGCCCTTCCTGGGCCCAGAAGGCAGGTCCTCAGGGCTCTCCTCCTCCTGTGGTCCCTCCTCCAAACCTTCATGTGGAGCAGTGAGCTCTCAGCCATAAGTGGAGAGGCCCTGGACAACAGGAGAGACCAGGCTCAGACAGACTGACTGGCCCTGAACTGGCCTGCCCGCCCACATGTGCCTGCAGGGGACGCTCAATTCAGGTCAACACAGGATTCAACACAAATGACCAAATTGAGACTATATTCTAAGACTGTGTTTTGATGGCTTGAGTAGACAGAATACTTCCATCAAGAGTTTTTTTTAAAAATAGTAAGAGAAGTATAAGGCCTGCTGCATTGCCGTCCCCGGGGAAGAGAAATATTCCCTCCACTGAAGACTTTCTTAGAGAGACAAAGAGAGTATTTTCTGATTGTGCCACGCAAGTCTAAACCAGCTAAAGTGCAGGTATGCGGATTTTATTTCTTATTAGCAACAAACAGTTTGATGATACGCCAAAGACAAAGAGGAGGAGTTGGAGATACTTCCATGAGCAATGCAAATTTAGAAAACCCAACAATGGAAACCAGAAACAGAAAGAGAAAAAAAAAACACTCAAAATAGGAAACAGAGAGGGAACAGGCCAGCACCTGGTTGGGGCCCCGCACTGGACAGGATTCAGGGTGGACTGTCCTTACCTGTTTTTCACTATCTGTCTTCATTCCTCCATTCAGAACACCCTCTGCTTCATTTGGATGGGCAATTGTCTTGGAGTAATTTTCTATGAAAAAGGGTGTGTTTTCCGTATTGAATCCCCAGGATCATGGTTTATGATGCTGGCATTGCAAGTCCCTGTGGCTCTTCAGATGCTGTGAGTGCCAATCACAGATCCACAGACTTTTCAGGCTTACTCAGTGTTAGATCCCCAAAGGCCCCTAGAAATAATCTTTTTCAGTGATGTTCACATGTTAAAAACACCAAAATACCTTCTTTAAATAAAATTGTATATAGAAGCCCAACATATAAAACCCAGGCAAGAGCCAGAAATCCCTGTCCCTCAAAAGGGGAAGGTCCCACAGTCCAGGTTCTGGGGATGCCCTTGGCCTTGCCCCATGGCACCTTAGTGGAAACCCTACTGTTTCTCAGAGCATATTTTGAAAACACTGTGCTGCCGCCGGGTGCGGTGGCTCATGCCTGTAATCCCAGCACTTTGGGAGGCCAAGGCAGGTGGATCACATGAGGTCGGGAGTTCAAGACCCACCTGACCTACACGGAGAAACCCCATCTCTACTAAAACTACAAAATTAGCCGGGCGTGGTGGCGCATGCCTGTAATCCCAGCTACTTGGGAGACTGAGGCAGAAGAATCGCTTGAACGTGGGGTGGGGGCAGGCGGGGGCGGAGGTTGTGGTGATCTGAGATAGAGCCATTGTACTCCAGCCTGGGCAATAAGAGTGAAACTCCATCTCAAAATAAATAAATAAATAAATAAAATAACGAAAAAAGAAAACACCGTGCCAACTTAGTCTGCTTGTGTGGCAAAGCAGACTGGCCCAGGGGAGCCAGGCTGGAAGCAGCACCAGCGTCTTCGCGCTTGGCCTGAGGCCGCTGTCACTGTATCCATTGCAGGGGGGCACAAAGGCTGCATCTTTGCTCTGAAATCATTGCTGCAGGTATTGTTTCAAGGCAATGCATAGATCTTGTTCAAGTCTTTGATCTCTTATCCACTCTATTAGGGTGTAAGAAACATGCTCAAGTTGCCTCATTAGTGGGGGAATAAGGAATTAAGGAGAAAGGATCATGTATCAGTTGTCTGTGTCTGCATAACAAACTTGTCCAAAATTTAGTGGCCGTATACAGCAATGCTGTTGTTTCTCCTGGTTCTATGGGTTGACGGGGCAGTTTTTCAGCTCACCTCACCATTCAGCTGGAAATGTTGATTCCATGTTCTACCGTCTCCTCAGAGAAACAAGGAGTCACTGGGCCAGAGCAAGATTCAGGCATTTTTAGGGTATCTAAGCAAATACCACACAACATTGCAACAGATCCATCCAGCTAAATTTGAAGGGCATTCCACAACCACTGATTTTTTCATTTAACAAGCATGTTAGAGACCCAGGAACTGGGCAGGGGCTGGAAGGATGAACACAGTCCCTAAACTTTCCAAGTAGAGGCCACATCTAAGGAGGAGGGAGCCCGAGGGCAGAAGCCACATTTAAGGAGGAAGGAGCTTGAGGGCAGAGGCAACATCTAAGGAGAGAAAGCCTGAGGGCAAAGGCCACGTATAAGGAGGAGGGAGCCTGAGGGTAGAAGGAACTTCTAAGGAGGAAGGGAGCCTGAGGTCAGAGGCCATGTCTAAGGAGAGAAAGCCTGAGGGTGGAGGCCATGTCTAAGGATAGTGGAGGTCAGGTTAAGAAAGAAAAAAACAAGGAGGAAGGGGAAGGGGTGAAACAGAGACATCTGCTGGAAGCTCTTCTGACTGGGTTTATGGGCTAGAACTGGGTCTGCTGCCCACCCCTGGCTGTAATGGAGGATGGAAAGTTTCATTTCATACCTGGGAACGCTAACTCCAAGAATAAAATCAGACTCCTCTTAAAGAATAAAGGCATAATGGGAGCTGGGTAGACAACCAGCCGTTTCTTGACATGAGGCAGTCCAGAAGCATATGGGAGAGGCTAAGGGGAGTGAATCCATAAAAGGAGTGTGGGGAGATGTTTAAGAGCAAACTGTCTTCCCCTTGCTTTGTTGGGAGACCCACACTGGGGAGGTATCCACAGCCTGTCTCCACGTGGACACATTACCCACAAACACGGAAAGTGGCCCTCAGATGCCTCTTGCAATGAGATTCCCTTTCATAGATCATAAAAACGGTGGACCATGGGATGTCATATGGTTTTCATTTGTAGTTTTGTAGGACATCACCATTAGCACTCTGAATTTTTACCGAGGGGTTGAGTAGAGGGGTTGCAGGGGCTTACCATCCCCACAGAACTGGCCCATGTCTGTCCTTGCAGAAGCCAGGAGTGGAAAAATTCCCATTTCAAGCTTATTATTCCAGCAGCATGCTCTAGTTAATTGAAATGACACAAAATTATTTTTCAACATACATAAAACCTGCCCTTCCTCTCCTACTTCATAGCACAGCAGCAAGCAAGCAAATGAGCACCAATTCATCTTCATTTGCTTCATTGCCTTTTGATGTTGTTCCTAAGTCATCAGCTCCCCTAACGTATTGTGGAAGTCTGCCATGCTGAATGTTGGTGTTGTTGCAGACTGGATAATAAAAATGCAAAACGTGCTGGCTGTACTAACAAAGAAAAATAAACATGATAGATGAGGGGAAACTTCATTTGGGTTCTGTTCCTGACAGTTCATACAAGTTCACGATTGTTGTTGACGTAAATAATGTACAGTGATGAAGATGACAAGACTGGCTGGCTCATATTTGAACTTTATCCATTTAAATCATGTTTTTCCAAACTGTTGCAAATAAATTAAAAGCCCCATGCCAGGGGGATTGAGTGGCAGTAAGTTCTGAACCACTTAGGGCCGGAGGTTTATGTTCCTAAGGGCAGAAGTTTCCAAGCTGATGAGCCCCACAGTCTGGGCACAGCTGCCTGTCTCACTTCCATGTCTGAAGAGACCCATCCGGTGCACAGTGGAAGGAGCTAGAAGCTATCACTGTTCACAAGATGGCCTCCTCCTGGGGTTTGTGTCATGATAACAGCTCTCTAGGGGCGAGCACACTGATGCAAGACTTGCCTCCTCTCTCCTTATTTTTCCAAGAATAATAAACAACTCCCTGTCCAAACTCTAGGCTGATGTTTATCTCGGGTTGTGGAGGCACAGAAAGAACAACAACAACAATGGTTTCCTGCTCTGTTGAGAAATTTGAGGCTTAAAACAATGAACTGGCACTTGTGAAATGCAAGGTGTGTAACTTTGAGCTTCTCCTAGAAAGTATGACTGGAACCTTCTGAGTGAGGACCGTTGTCACTGGGCCCAGATTTCAAAATATAGTGGGTTGATAGAAAACTGGAGGTATAGTAAGGCCAACAGAGCAGGAGAGGGGGGAGGGAGAGGGGTGCCATTGAAAAGATAATTCAGTCACTCAGACTCCAAGAGGAGGGGACACCCTGCCTCATGCCGGGGTGTGTGGGGAAGCACTAGGGCTGGTCAGGGAGCAGAGGGAACTGGAGGAAAACATGGCCAAGAGCCTTTATTGCGGTTTCTGTGGGAAGGAATAAGTGATGTAGGGGAAGGAATAAGTGATGTAGGGTAAGCAAGCTTAGGATTGGAATGCAACAATCCTAACTTCAACAGGCTCTGGGGCATAAGGGGTGCCCCTGGGGCACAGTGGCCCAGAGTGTGAGAATCCAGTAAGGAAGGTGATGGGGTGTGGGCGCTGGATTGGTTGGTTTGTATTTGAGAAGCATCTCTTGTATGAGTTGTTTACTACTTTTACAAATTGATGAACCCTGGGAGGGGCAGTCCATACAGGGCCAGCAAGGCCCTAGTTGTCAAAGTGTCACTGAGCAATGGTCTCGTAATCCAGTGAACACAGGAGCCAATATTATGGCACCGGCTTTTGAGAAAGGCAAAAGCCAATGCCATTGTGAGTCTACTGGCAAGGAGATAGGTGGCAATTCTCCAATCTGTTTCCCGTGCTCTGACGCAAAATGATGTTTTAAAATTGTAGCATTCTCTACCTCAAGCCATCTAGGCCTATCTGGGAGTGGGTCAAGTTTTTATGGCATTTCTAACTAGTCCCAGATGATGCCAGTGCAGCCAGACTGCCATGCTGGTCCTGTTACCAATTAGGAGGCTGAAGGATACATGTCTTGCAATTTTGGCTCTGTGCCATGTATAACAGCTTAGGCAATTGTTAGTGGGTTTAAGCTGGTCTCATGGTTACAAAAGCATTAGGAAATATAGAAAATAGAAGACATGGTTAACACAACCCACCCTGGGCTGGAGAGGTGAGAAAAGCTGCCTTGTGGAGCTGTGTTCATTGGAGCAGCTATAGAGGGTGGCTGTGGTGCCACAAGCGTGGCTGAGGGATGAACCACAAGGGGCTTCTGCCACAGTACAGACCCCCAAGGCTGGGAGGAGCTGACCTCAGGGAGTTTGGCAAGGATGGTTTGCCCATGGGCAGTCCAGAGGCAACCTGGGCCTCTAGCAAGGCAGCTAGCTCAGCACGAGGCAACACCACGCTGGTCTACAGCAGGAGGAGCACCTGTGTCTCTCACTGGCCATGTGCTTGCCACCAACTGCTTGCCCTCTCATGTCTTTTGAATTCTTTCCAAGTAAAGAAAATAATTTGCTTCCTACAGATACTACATGAATTAATTTTGCTCTCAAAGAATTTCTCAAAAGTGGGGAGAAAGGAATCTCCTGGGCATGCATAGCTGTTCTATAGAATCACATCCTTGAATCTTTTTTAATGACCTGCCAGGTGGCTACCTTCTGCATGGACTCACAGCATCAAGGTCAAAGGACTTTCTGCCCCAAACTCTGCCATTCTCCTGTGTCATGGTAAGCAGAAATATAGACACTGAAGGTGGACGTGTAATGAGGACAGGACCTTCACCTGCCCACAGGTGTTGGCACAGGCTGGACATTCCCTTGTTCATCCCCTCCTTCCAGCATGTCTCTCCCTTCATGGGCACAGTGCCTCCTGGCCTCATGCCTGCCTGGTTCCAGAAGGCTGGCCCCAACCGTGCCTCCCCAGGGAGTGTCCGGCCTGCTCCCAGGAGCACAGCGGCCTCACTAGCTTCAGACTCTTCGGTGTGCTCTCCTCTTCTCTGTCTCAGGTGACTTCACATCAGTTCTGTGTTAAACAGGCCAGGAAGGATCATCTCTATCACACATGAGGACTGGAGTCTCAGAGAAAGCCAACCAGTTCAGTCTAAATGAGATCAGAGCTTGGATGCCCCAACACCAAGTCAAGAGCTCCTTTCACGGTGATTCTGTCACGGCCATAAGGACTCTGTCCAAAGAGCAGACCCCAGGATAGCCACACTCCTATCCTAGAGCTTTGGTTGTAATGGAGAACATAACTTAAAGTGGCATTGAAAAAAAGAAAGGACATGTGTTGGCTTATTGGGCGCAAAGGTCTAAAGGCAAGGCTGGCTTCAGGCAACAGGTGACCCAGGTGTTCAAATGTTGTGCACTGATTTCTTCCCTCAGTTTCTCAAAAGTGTCTCTTCAGCACTGGCTTTCCCTCCACCATCTCAAAATGGTGCTCAGCAGCTTCCTCTCTCGCTGCCAGCTTCCAATCAGGAGGAAAGTGTTTTGCTTCTCTGGGACCCAAATGTCTTGCACTTGAGTGCTACTGAACCTGATTGGACTGATTTGAGTCGTATGATTATCCCTGAACCAATCATGGTGGAGTTCATGTCTTGATTGGTTTAAGGCAATCCCAACGGGCTCTTAGAAATTGGTTTGGGAGGTGGGGCCAACTGCTCCCAAACTGCACGTCCAGGAAAGAGGAGGCACTGACAGGGAGAAAGCAGGAACCCACCACGGTAGTGCTTCTTACTCTCAAACTTGGGATACTCTAATCTTGCCTTACTCTTTACTGAGTCAGGAGGTAATCCCCAAAGATCTGTGACACTGAAGGCCCCCATCCAGGAGAACCCAGTGGCACTGGGTGGAGGCTGAGCAGATGGCCCTGTAACCTCTCAAACGCGGACCACAGAGGCGGTGTTTCCCCGCATCAGCCTCCTCCTCCTCCAACATCCCTCTTCAAATGAATCCATGTTCTCTTCAAACATAAACTGAAATTTTTCCATGTCCCTTGTTGAAGACAGTGCTTCTCCGGGCATAAAAATCCTTGCAGTCTGCTGGGATGATTATTCTGTAAGACAGACGACAAGAGGAAAAGGTGAACTTGCTGGAAAAGATCTCTCCAAAGATCTGATGAGAGGCAAGCTTTTCAAGGCTATATTCTCAGCATAAAATAAGGAAATAAGGCCAGGCATGGCAGCTCCCATGGGTAATCCCAACACTTTGGGAGGTTGAGGCAGGAGGACCACTTGAGGCCAGGAGTTCCAGATCAGCCTGGGCAGCATTGTGAGACCCCCATCTCTACAAAAAATCAAAAAGTAAAAAAATAAAATAATAAATAATGTTTTTAAAAAACAAATTCAGAGCTTGGTATTCCCAGTGGATAATTTTTCAGAGTGACAAAGCCAAAAGCTGAAAGGAGAAAGGGCCATAAGTTTGTGGCCATAATTACACATTTTTGGGGGCTGCTGGTTGGCTCTAGAAATTATCTGGCTCCTGTACTACATGAGACCTTTGCTTGTGTCCATTGCTATCACTTTATAAGTTTTTCAGACCAGATATGTCAAAGCTATTTATTTTGTCCTGAATACATTCTTTATCATGAAGACAAGTGACCACCACACGGTCAGCCATGTCTTTCCAAAGCAAAATTAAGTGAGACGAAAGCAGTCATCCTTTCTCACTCTACTATTCTTTTCTTTAAAAAGAAAAACCAGAAATAGAACTCGAAGCAAAGGCTAGTACATCTAATCACTGTTTTAAAAATACCCAAGTAGGCAAGTTGTAAAGAAGTACAGTCATCAAGGTATAAGGAGAAATGTTAAATATGGTTCTATTTTGTAAAGAACTTCCAGTATGACTCCATATTTTACATTGGGAAAGCCAGAGAAATTTAAGGTGTTCATGTTCTCAAAGGTCTTCCTCGAGAAACTGGAGCTGAATTCATTGTCATCAACTGATTGGTAACCAGTGGCCCTTCTCTTAAATGTTCTCTGACTGCGTTCCAAGATAAAACTTTATTTGGAAACAAGTACTCTAAAAATAAGGCCACTGACTCTTCCAGCATCTCCTCATTTACAGAGTCTGACCAATGCCTGCAAGACCATCCTGCAGCTGACTCCAGCCCTCATACTCACTAAACCGCTAATAAGGTCCACTCTTCACCCCAGGTCACACGTGGTTCCCCATAGTGTGTGAGCCCTCTTGTTATAGCAATTAAGAAATCTAACTTTGTCAGCCACAGATGTGTCCCTACTGGTCCTTAGCTGACAGATACCAACATGGGTTATAAATGTTATATATGCATATATGAAAAATACAAAATTGCATGAAACTACGATTATAATTCTAGTTTATCGTTTTCCCAGGTATGAGCAATCTGTTACTTTCAGTTTTCTTTATATTTATATAATTCTACTGAATACACTTTCTAATTTTCTTTTTAATTAAGAAATAGTTCAAAGCCAACCAATCCATGGAATTATATACTGGCCACTTGCGCATCTACCACCAAGAATTGATACCTGTGCGTGTTGTGTCATCATTGCTCCAGGCCCCCCCAAAAATAAATAAATAAATAAAATATTTGAGATAAACAAGTAAGAATTTAATAAATTCTTATAAATAAAATAAACAACTATTTAAGATAAAATATTTGAGTTAAAATCCCTTCATCATCTGCCAGCGATCCCTCTTTCTGTAGAGGTGACCCCTCAGTTAAATTAGGTTTATATATGTCATGAGCAATCACTACAACGTGTGTACTTAAAAATAAGATAGGCAGTTGCTTTGATGCTTTTTAGAATATGACTCATTGACATATTCATGCATCTTTTTGTCATGTCTTTTCCTTGAATTATCATGTTTTTGCTATTGACCTTTGTTGATGTATGTAGATATAGTTCATTTATTTTAACTGCTCTGTAATATTCCATCCAGTCAAGAAACGATTCATTTATCCATTCCTATGCTGAGAGATAGTTTGTTGTTTCCAACATTTTCACTGTTACAAACATTACTGAGAAATCCTCTTACCCACATCGTTCTGTGCTCACCAGGAAGTAGGATTTCTAGTCATAGGCTATGTGTCATTTCACCTATGATCATACTGGCAGAGTGCTCATATAAGTGATTGTAGAACCAGAGGAAGACATCACTTGCTGCCTTCAGCTGCCTACCCCACCATGTGGCAGCCATGGCCACTCCATTCCAGCTCACTTATCTCTGACACACAGGTAAACGAGTTTGCTCTCAAACCTAATGATTTTAACAGAGCCTCCCAACTTCCCACCGCTCACATATGGCAGGGTTGGCAGCTGCCCAAGTGGAGTTATGCATATTCTTGGGACATTCCTGGAAACACACCCCTCCCCTGATCCAGCCAGCACACCACTATCTGCAGGAAATCTCTTCCTGCTTAAACTAGATTGATTTCTGTTTCCAACCCTGAACTCCAACCTCCACACACTCCCACCAGCAGTATTGAAGACTTTATATTTTCCTTGGTATTAGCAGACTGGTTTTTGCCAATCTGATGGTGAGGAAATGGTATTTAAATGCTGTTTTGATTTGCATCATGCTGAGAGCCTTTTCATTTCCTCTTTTATATATCTATTCATATTCTTTGCTTGTTATAATCAACAGGCTAATTAATCCTACATAGTGTAGTGCATAACCACAAATCCTAGCGGCTTAACATCAAAAAAGGTTAATTTTGCTCAACACATGTGTGATATGAACCAGTTCTTTTTGGAACTCTCTCTCTCTAATCTGGGATTAGACTGGGATCAAGTGACTCAATCATCTTAGAGTTTTGCCTTTAGTCATGAAGATAGAGGAGTGAGAAAAAACACGGAAGATGATGTGGGACATTTTAGGAGCCAAGCCTGGATGGGGAAAGGGCTGCCTACATTTCATTGGCCAGAAGTCAGTCGCTTGATCACCCTAACTGCAGGAGTCTGGGAAGGTAAAGGTGCATATGGATCCAGGTGAGCACTAATGACCTCTGTGAATTCTGCCCTGCTGCTCAAGAAATATCAGGTTACTCCCCTCTGCCCATCCATACAGCATACTCATGTCCTCCCAAGGAAACCTTACAAAATGCCCTTGAGTGTCTGCACTCAGCTCAGCTCAAAGTCTGGAAGGTCCAGGTGATGCATGTTTCTTTCCACCAGGACCAGATGAAAAATCTCTCTGTGGGCTAAAAAGTAAGCCATCCACCTCTCCTTCCCATAGATCCTACAGACAACAGCAGAGCAGGGCTATATGCCTGCGGTAAAACCCTTGTTCAAGAAAGGGAAGAACAGAAGACACATTGCAATGATGAGTTCAAAGTTTTAATGGGTTTCCACTGCATACAGTGGGCTCCACTGGTTTTCAGGACCCATGGATTCAATATCTAGGTGCCTTTCCTTGTATATTTTATTGGTCATATGGGAAACATGGGTAGGGCAGGAACATGTACATTCCTCCTTGAGAATGTACAGGCTTTGAAGCCTGAGTCTTGCTCTTGAGGCTGTTCTGGTCATCTATTTTTGTGTACTAAACACTTCCAAAAGTTAGTGGCTTAAAAAGCAAAAATTATTTAGTTCACAAATCTGCAATAGGGCAGGGCTCAGTGGTGTCAATGGGAGCTGGAGAATCCGCTTCCAAAACAGCTCACTCACAAGGCAGACAAGTTGGTGCTGGCCATGGCTGGGAGTTCATTTGGAGCTAAGGACCAGAAGACTTGGTTCTTTCCATGTGGGGCTCCCCCCAGGGCTGTTGGGCTTCCCCACAGCATGGTGACTGGGTCCTAAGAGCAAACGTCCCATGAGAACCAGATAGACGATTCATCATCCTTCATGAGTTACCATGGAAATTGCATAGTGCCAGTTCCGCCACAGTCACAAGCATACCCATAGTTAAGGGGAGAGAACGTAGACAACCTCCACCTTATGCCTCAGTGAGAGGTGTATTGGTCACTTCTCAAAAGAGCAGATGGCGTGAGAGGTAGTAGTGTGATCATTTTGGAAAATGTAATCTCCCACAGAAGTCTTTGGACCTCAAATAGTCAACATTTTTGTTGCTGTTGCTCCTGTTAATGGTGTCTTTGGAACATGATTTCCCCAAAAACCTAATTGATTTCTGGTCCATTAGCTTCCATTCAGGTTCAAACCTCAGTCACTATGCCCATAACATGTGTGTGTGTGTGTGTGTGTGTGTGTGTTTTCCTGAATATAGACTCAAACCTTTCTGTATTATAATGTTTACTCACCCTTATTCCTCTTCTTCTCAACTTTCTGGAGGCTCTCAGGCTTGTGTGGGAATGGCATACCCTCACTATGATCTTTCTCTTTAATCACTGAGAAAGATTTATAGCTGTAGTTGAACAAATTATTTTCAAGTCTCGTCTTATTGTTTGTGATCTGAAAGCAGTTGGCTCTTCCAACCCTGCAGTGACTAGAATGTTTGGACTTTCCCAGTCCCATTATATTTCTCCCTATAAACAGCCCGGTTTTTTCTTGGGCTCACCTCATTGTTGGAACACCTTTCCAAAAGGAGCCCAGATACACCTTGAATCTTTCTGATTCACTTCTCCTCAAGCTGCCAGCTTAATTAGGCATATGACATGCCTCCTAACATGTTTTACCAAATATGTACCAGTTCATAACATGGATTTCCGTGTTTCCAGGCTTAGGTTTTTGTTTCTTTGACGCCTACCACCAAAACTAAGAAAATACCATATAGCTCAGGTTTTTTATGTGTAAGCACTCCACTCCTGGCACTAGTTTTTGAATAGATAAAGGTAATTAAGACTGGCTGCTCCAACAAACAACTCATCTTGGTGATGTAACACAGTAAATATTTATCTCCTCTTCACATGCTAGCCTGATGTGGATCTAGCCCAGACCATGGCTCCTCTCCAAGGGGACCCAGGGACCCAGGAATATTCCACTGGGGGACTCTCTGAAGCCTTCACTTCCAGCCATGAAGATGGGGAAGACAGAGCCCGTGGAAGATTACATGGGAGGGACATCTTAGAGACCAGACCTATAAATGAAGGACAGCTCTTTGTTCAAATGTCATTGGCCAAATTTTGGCACATGGCCAGTCTAGGAAGGGAGGCTGTGAATAGAGGAAGAGTTGGATATGCACAGGTGCTCTTTGTTCCAATATGGTTTCTTTATCTCCTTCTCACTGATATGTAGGAAACATTCATATTTTTTCACTAATCCAACTTCAGTTATAGCATTGCCAATATTCTTCCTAAACTAAGGGCTATCTCTTGGAACTCTTAAAGTATGCTTTGTCATTCAGAAGCTTTCACTTAAAAGAAGGTATGGTTTTTGTGTTTTTTTTTCCTTTCTTGGTTTATGCTTTTGACACTTGTCTTAGAAATGCCTTTCCACCCTGAGGGCATAAGATCTTCCTTGTTTTCTTGTAGGTCTTTACATCATCAAATTTCTCTATGTGGAGATCTGGGATTGAGTTTTATATTTTCAGCCCATGAATAGCAAAGGGACCAGTCCATTTAATTAATAATCTGTATTTCCCAGCACGAGAACCCCACGTGGGTCACATATTTCCAAATGTTCTAGCCCTCTTTCTGAACTCTCACTTTGTGCCATTTTTTTCTGCTCACTTATGCATTGAAAACAATATTTGTTATTTTATATTTCTAGGTAATAGTTTTTAAGTTATTTAGTTTACCTTATTGTCCAAACTGAAGTTCATATAATTTTTTGAAAGAAGATTGTAATTATTATTGATATATGCTATTTCCTCTTATCATTAAATATTCTTCAAAAATGACTTTTAATAACTGCATATAACTCAGGGAAGCAACATAATTTGTTTAAACACTAGCCTTGGTGGGAGTTTATCTTGCCCTTTTTTATGTTACTATTTAATCTTGGCCTAATTTCCTCTGGCCTCCCCCATCTCAAGGATTCAAGAGCTTTATCAGGTGACAAAATTCCTGCTGCTCTTATCTTTCCGCTCAGAAAGCAGTTAGTGTATGGAGTGCTCCCCTGCCCCTCAGAGCCCCTGACTCATTCATTTGCCTTCCTTAAGTCTCCCGCCACTCATTTCTCTGTCTTTTCCTCTGACCCATGCACACTTATCCCTTGCCCACTCCTTGATTTATAGAATTTCAACTTTACGAGGAGTCTATATTTATGCCTATTTGTCTATGTAAGTTCTTTTTCACTTGTTTACTAAAAGCAGTCTTTATGAGACAATGGTATGTTCTGTGATCCTCTGACAGACGAATCCCTGGGCTGGCCCCTGATCCTGTTGAAGTAGCCAGTTGCAAGGATGTTGGGAGCTAGGATGGGTGTGAGAGGTAGGAGGTGCCATGCACATTGAAGAGCACTCCTGACAGGCACGGGACCTGATTTGGATTCTCTTTTGCCCTGTCACTTGCAGCATTATGTTCCCACAAACCAGTAAAAAAAGGGCTAAGAAACTGGTGCTGTTAGCACTTTGAATTAATGCACTGTTTCTGAGGCTGGGGGAGCTCCTGTCTGGAAGCTGGGGATGCTCAAGTCACCCTGGATGCAGAGCTACATGGAAGGGAGAAGAAGCCAGGTCCTCTCATCGCCCAGAGCCACGTGATTCTAGAAGGAATCAAGGGAAGAATGGAATGCAAGTAAGGAGGTGTTGGAATGCCAGGGTAGTTGTGGACCTTTTGGAAATTCAAGAACAGCGCCCCTCTTTTTAGTCTCAAACTAAGCCTTTTGAGGCTGCCAATGATTTTTTCCTTGGAAACTTCAGAAATATTCATTAAAGGATTCCAGCATTGCTGAATGTTATCTATTTTGGAAGAGAATGTCTTCTCACCTAATTTTACTTCATCAGATGGAAACAAACCACAGATGGCAAACAGATCTTAGTTTACTTTTTTGTTACTTTGAAGGTCACAAATTTAAACCGTGGCTGGTGGAATTCTCTTAAATTTCTGGGACTGTTAAATGTTTGAGAAGAAACTTTACAAAGTTGGCAAATGAAGCTGTTTATTCACAGCACAAAGTGCTAAAAGGACATTTATTTGAATAATTTTACGATGAAAAGAATTATTACATTGAGAGGCTGAGGCGGGTAGATTGCCTGAGCTCAGGAGTTCAAGAACAACCTGGTTCTTGACATGGTGAAACCCTGTCTCTACTAAAAATACAAAAAATTAGCGGGGCATGGTGGCATACACCTGTAATCCCAGAGGCAGAGGAATAGCTTGAACCCGGGAGGCGGAGGCTGCAGTGAGCTGATTGTGTCACTGCACTCCAGCCTGGGCAACAGAGCGAGACTGTCTCCAAAAAAAGAAAAGAAAAGATTATAGAATTTGCTATTTAAAATAAAGCCAGCAAATATCTACTCTGGACTTGTCTCACCTCCCCACTGGAAAGCACAACCAAAAACCCTGTAAATAACATAAGAAACAATGAAAGATGAAAAGAGAAATGTGAACTGGTTTGTGAGCCTGGGACTGGACAACGCAGTGGCAGAGTGTTTTACAGCCCTCACTCGACGGAAGCAGGCCACCAGACCCAGTGTTTCCAATACCCAACCTAGCTATGGAAGGTAACCCAGGTAGGCTCATTTGTCCCTCTAATCAAACAGAGTCCTGCAGCAACATCAGGCGGGCCAAGCAACCATCTAAGCATAGTTGGAGCCCTGCTGACAACAGGCCACCAGGGGAGGTGCTCTTTTCCTTTAACACAGGGGCAGAGAACCCCCCTCACCACCCACCTTGGGGCACCACTAATGGGGATCCTGCCCCTACATGTGCCTGGCCCCCACAAGCAGGAGCCATCCTGCCACAGCAAGGGCCTTGACTGGGAGGCCTCATTGTCCCCACCGTCTGCCGATGCCCCTCTTCCATAGAGACCCAGCCAGGGGAAGCTTCATCTGCCTTCTCAGACAACACCTGAGGTGCCTGACGGGAGCCCAGCAGCATGAGATATACCCCCCAGTTCACATTAGCACCACTAGGGCTCTGCAAATTAGAGTGCCACAAAAGTAGGCCAGGACCTTAACAAGTCCTACACCTTAACAAGTTAAAAGTGAAAATAAATAAAATACTTAAAATATTGACTTTAGTGACTGGGCACGGTGGCTCACACCTGTAATCCCAGCACTTTGGGAGGCCAAGGCGGGTGGATCACCTGAGGTCAGGAGTTTGAGACCAGCCTGGCCAACATGATGAAACCTCATCTCTACTAAAAATACAAAAATTAGTCAGATGTGGTGGCACATACCTGTAGTCCCAGCTACTTGGGAAGCTGAGGCATGAGAATCGCTTAAACCTGGGAGGTGGAGGTTGTAATAAGCCGAGATTGTGCCATTGCACTCCAGCCTGGGCAACAAGAGTGAAACTCTGTCTCAAATATATATATATACTTTAGTGATAAATAAAATAAAATAATTTAACAGAACCCATAGTTTCCTAAATAATAGGCAAAATGTCCAGCTTACAATCAAAAAATCATCCATCCTACCAAGAACCAAGAATATAACAAACTTTAATGAGAAAAGATAATCCACTGATGCCAGCACTGAGACAAATCAGGAGTTAGAATTATCAGACAAAAAGTTTAAAGCAACGATCTTAATAGTGACTTAACAAGCAATTACAAATTCTCTGGAAAACTTAAAAGATAGAAAATCTCATAAAAAATTGAATCAAAAAAAAACAAATGGGAACTGTAAAACTGAAAAATACAATAGCAGAAATTAAACACTCTGAGTAGGCTCAACAGTAGAGTGGAGATGACAGAGGACAGAATTGGTGAACTTGATGACAGATCGACAGAATTTACCCAATCTTAACAGAGAGAATATGGACCTAAAAAATGAACAGAGACTTCACAACCTGTGTGACTGTAACAAATGAGACAACATTTGTATCATTGGAATCCCAGAAGGAGATGAAAAAGAGAACAGACATAAAAGAGTAGCTGAAGCAATAGTGGCTGTAAATATCCAGACTTGGTGAAATACAGGCTTAAGAAGCCGGGCAACCCACAGATAGCAAAAACCCAAAGAAACTCATACCAAAATATATCATTCATTAAACTTCTGAAAACAGAAGACAAAGAAAAAAATCACTATTTCAAAATTTCTAAAATAATACATTTTTAACATTCTCACCACAAAAAATAATAAGTTGGTGAGGAGATGGATGTTAATTAGCTTGATTTAATCTTTCTATAATGTATACATGAATTAAAACATCACATTGTACCTCACAAAAACACACAATTAGTTTTTACCAATTAGAAATAGATAATAATAGAAAACAGCCAGAGAGAAATGGCACATTATATATAAAGGAACAAACACCAATTCAAAGGACAGAGGATTTTTCATCTGAAACCGTGGAGGCCAGAAGGAAATGGCACTGCATTTTTCAAGCACTGAAAAGAAAAAGAACTGTCAATAATGAATTCTGTATGAAAATATTCCCCAGAAATGATGAGAGAAATAAAGACACTCCCAGAAGAAGGAAAACCAAAATATTGTGTTGTTAGCAGGCCTACCCTTAAAGCGTCGTTAAAAGTAACACTTTAAACAGAAAGACAAAGTAAAGGAAGGAATCTTGGACTATCAAGAAGGAAGAAAGACCAGTGTAAAGGGAATAAGGTGAGTAAATGCAATAGGTTATCCTTCTTGTCATGAACTCTCTAAATCATATATGATGGCTGAAAAATATCATCACACCATCTGACACACGACAATATTTAAAAATAAGGAGCTAAAAGGACCTAAATAAAATTAAGGCTTCCACATTTTGCTGAAAGTGATGAAATGCTGACACCAGTAGACTATGTTGTCACATGTATATTTTAATATTTAGACCAGCCACCAAGACAGTGACACAACATGATATACTCGAAAAACACGAGATATTCTCAAAAACACAGAATGAAAACCTAAAAAAAATTCAAGTGTTTCTTTTTTGCCACAGAAGCAAAAAAATGAACTAGAAACAAGAAATGAACAGAAAATTGTTACACTTTACATTAATACTGATATGGTTTGGCAGTGTCTCCACCTAAATCTCATCTTGAATTATAGCTCCCATAATTCCCACGTGTTGTGGGAGAAACCGGTTGGAGGTAACTGAATCATGGGGGTGGGTTTTTCTTGTGCTGTTCTCCTGATAGTGAATAAGTCTCACAAGATCTGATGGTTTTATAAAGGGGAGTTCCCCTACACACACGCTCTTGCCTGCCACCATGTAAGATGTGACTTTACTCCTCATTTGCCTTCTGCCATGATTGTGAGGCCTCCCCAGCCATATGGAACTGTGAGTCCATTAAACCTCTTCTCTTTATAAATTACCCAGTCTTAGGTTTGTCTTTATTAGCAGTGTGAGAACAGATGAATACAAATATGATTAAGGAAAATATAATATTTTATTTTACTTTCACTTCTTTCTTCTCTGGTGCTCTTCCTTTCTTTACATGGATCTGGGTTTTTGACCTATGTAACATTTCTTCCCCCTGAAAAGCTTCTTTAACTTTTCTTACAGGGAAGATGTGCTGAGGATGATGTGCAGTTTTTGTTAAAAATCTTTGTTTCTCCTCCCTTTTGAACAACAAATTTGGCTAAATATAGAATTCTAGTTTGGTGGGGATTTTTTCTTTCACACTTTAAATATATCACTCCATTCTTTTCTTGCTGACATGGTTTCTTATGAGAACTCTGCTGTAGTCCTTATCCTTATTTTTTTAATAAGTAAAGTTTTTTCTTCCTCTCTGGCTACTTTCAAAATTTGATCTTTGTCTTTAGTTTTCTGCAGTTTGAACATGATATGGTATAAATGTTTTCCCTACAAGCCTAGATTTTTTATGTTCTTTCAATTTCATGGATCTGTGATTTGTACTCTATCATTAATTTGGGAAAGTTTTTGGTCATTATTACTTCAAATATTTATTTTGCTTCATTCTCTCTTCTCCTGTTATTGCAACTGCACTTAGTTATATCTCTTGTAATTGCCCCACAGTACTTTCTTGAATTGTGTGTGTGTGCATGTGTGTGTGTGTGTGTGTGTATTGCAAGTGTCTATTGACCTACCTTAAAGCTCACTGACAGCCTGGGCCACATAGTGAGACCTCATCTCTACAAAGAGTAAAGAAATTTAGCTAGGCATGCTAGTGCACACCTGTAGTACCAGCTACTTGGAAGGCTGAGATGGGAGGATCACTGGAGCCTAGGAGGTCAAGGCTGCAATGAGCCATGATCATAGCACTGCACTGCAACCTTTGTTTCCAAAAATAAAAAATAAAAAATAAAAAGAGCTCACTGATACTTTTCTTGGCCATGACCATATTCAGTCTACTCATGAGCCCATAAAAAGCATTCTTTATTTCTGTCACAGTGCTTTTGACTTTCTAGCTTTTTCTGTTGATTCTTTTTTAGAGTTTCCATCACTCTGCTTTCATTATCCATGTCTTCTTGCAGGTTATCTACTTTTTGCATTAGAGCTCTCAACATATTAATAATAGCTATTTTAAATTCCCTGTGTGATAATTCCAACATGTGTATCATGGGAGAGTCTGCTTCTAATGCTTGCTCTGTCTTTTCAGACTTTGGGTTTCAAGTTTGGTGGGGTTTTTTTGGGGGGTTGGTTGGTTTGCTTGCCTTTTAGCATTGCCTTGTTGAAAGGTTAATACGTTGTCTGGATATAGTGGCTCATGACTGTAATCTCAGAACTTTGGGAGGCCGAGGCAGGAGGATCGCTTGAGACCAGGTGTTTGAGACCAGCCTCAGCAACATAGCAAGACCCTATCTCAGAAAAAAAAAAAAAGAAAGGTGGACATGTTTTATTGAATAATGGGGTCTAAGGCAAATTAGTCTTTAGTTTGAAATTTTACGTGAATTTGGCTAGGAGTTGAACTTTGATTAGTATTTGCTGTAGCCGTATATGCCACAGGCCCCAAATTTCTCCTGGCTTTTGCTCTATTTTTAACTTTGGGCTTCCCTAAGTGCTCTTCCTCGGAGAGAGTCTGTGACTTGCAGCTCTTCCAGCTGTAATTCACTCTTATTCTACCACAGCTCTGTTGGTGTCGTGCTAAGAGGAGTGTGCTTGGGGTTGCGGAGGGGGCATTATTCTATAATCTTATGATTAAATTGTAGTTTTTTTCATGGGCCTCTGTCTCAAGGCTGTGACCCTCACAAGTGTTTCTCTAGTCGTATTGCTTCCTTCCTGTTTGGTGAGACAGGAAGTCTAGAGTGGGCTGGAGTGGGAGCAATGCCTTTTCTCCAGCTGGGGGAAGATTGTAATAAAGTGTTTTTCCCTGACGAGCAGGTCTCTGTTACGGAGAAGGCTCCAGGGGAGCTTCATGAGAATTATTCTTCCCCACCCCTCACCAGAAACAGGAGGAGATCTTGCTTTTCTCTTCATTGTGAGAAGCTGTTGGGATTTCTGAAGGTAAAAACCGTAACAGTGGGTCCCTCTAGGACTGCAGCCCATAGGAGATACCCACTTTCACACTAGTCCATACTCAGCCTCCAGCAAGTCATCAAAATTCATGTTTAAGACTTCCTGCCAGTTACTGCTCCAGCAGCTTCTTCCCCAGGCCAGTAGATCTTGGCTGTGTCTCTGGATTCACCTGTCTCGACAGACTTCAGGGTGTGGTTTGTAATCTCAGTTCTCTGCTGGGTCTAGAAAAAGTCATTGATTTTCAGGTTTTTTTCAGCTTTTTCTTTTTCCTTTTTTTTTTTTTTGAGATGGAGTTTCGCTCTTGTCGCCCAGGCTGGCATGCAATGGCACAATCTCAGCTCACTGCAACCTCCGTCTACCAGGTTCAAGTGATTCTCCTGCCTCAGTCCCCCAAGTAGCTGGAATTACAGGCGTGCACCACCACACCCAGCTAATTCTTTTGTATTTTTAATAGAGACGAGGTTTCACCATGTTGGCCAGGCTGGTCTCAAACTCTTGACCTCAGATGATCTGCCTGTCTCGGCCTCCCAAAGTGTTGGGAAGCTTTTTCTTATTGATGACTTCTGATCTCTTCACATGTCAAAGCTGAACCCAGAAGTCTGATTAATTTTCTTTTTATTTTTTAGGGCCATGTCCCACGCTAAAGGAAGTCTAGCTCCATTAAAAAGTAAACCGTAATGGACCTCCTATTGAGTTTGGAGGAATTGCTGTGGGCTGATTGCACTGATTAAATCATTCATCCTCCATCCAGCATGAACACTTTGCATGCTCCCTGTGGGCCTGTGATTTGGATCTATATATTGGAATGCCCCTACAGAATTCAATGTCTTTAGATCCCAATCTCTTCTCTATTCCTCAACACATGGGGAGCTCCTTGGAATCCCACAATGATTCCTGGTTACAGAGACCCAGACATACTGGGCATGATTGGACCATTCCCTGCCTGAGGCCATGCTGGAGCCAGAGACTGTGTGACAGAGATGCGCTTGTAGTTTAAATATGAGAAGACAGGGTTTAGGGCTGATATTAGGGCCTTAACTACAAAAATCCAAGTGAAATCTGAGAACCCTGATTGTTGTGTTCCAACCTAAGACCCTTTGGTTGTTCCCAAATACCAAATAATTTGGGGGAAATACTGACATACTGACAGCCTCTGAACATTAGAGGTGGTCAGAAACCATGTCTCTTCTCCCAATCCTCCTTACCAGGTGTTGTGTGGAAAGCAAGTCTCAGACTGAACTCATACAGACATTTATTAGCTCTATGTATGAACCAGCTGATGCAGAATCCTTCATAAAACGTGATCTCTTAAGCTTCTATGCTGCTGCATCCTTTTAGGCTCCCTGGGAAGCACATTAAGTATAGAAGAATTCACCCCTGGCAATTGCAACCATTATGGGAAGGTGGGAACATCTGGTCTGTCAGTCCGATCAAGTGAAGGATGAAACAGATTTCCACATCCTGAGCACCACTCCAAAGTGGGGAGACTACTGGGTTTGCTGGATGCTTTTACTCCATTCATACACGGGTGGAGGCAACTTTGCCAGTCTTGCAACCAATCACATATAATTATGCCACTTATTTCATCAAAATAAATTATCCAACAGTCCTTACACTGATCAATGGACCTGTTACTGCTGATTCTGATGGTAATATTTAAAGGCTTGCCTTAGTTGTTTCTGGAAAACTGATTCCAAATTAAGGTCTAAATTAAGGTAGTTAGGATTCCTCATTAGTGTCCTCCACATGGTAAATAAAAGCCCTGGGAGTTTAGATCAATGTTGACATAAACACACACACACACACACACCACACACACACATCACACACACATCACATACACACACATATCACACACACACACACACACCATTCTAAAAACTTAAGAATTTTTAAAGTAAATTACTGACAATACTTTAGCTTACTTTGTTTTTTTATCTTACTTGACTCTGTTGTCTATTGACAACAAAGCCCAGTGTTGTATTCTTAACCACTACTGATCATCAAACATGAATGTTATCATTCTTAGAAAATCAGATGTACAAATAACCCCACACTTTCTGCATGTGTAACATCAGGCAGGTCATTTAACCTTTTTAGGCCCTAATTTCGAAATCTGCAAAGTGAAGTTAATAATGAGAGTTATCTACTTCCAAGAGTGGTTGCCCAAACCCCATGAGATAAGATAAGTCAAGGCACTGTGGAAGCCATATAAGCAACAGGCGTGAGGAAGGCGTCATTAGTTGTCTGCTTCTTGAAGGGAGAACATTCAGGAGGGAAAGGCTGCAGGCTTCCTCATCTGGAAAAACTCCCTGCTGCCTAAAGGAGCACAGAGCATCCTCAAAATCCACACACCCAAACCAACCCCAAAGGCACTTGTTATTCATAAGTGAAAGGTCCTGGGTGTGGGTGGATGAAAGTTGAAAGCTTTCCCAAGTCAAATGAGAATGTTTGCTTCCATTGCCTCACACTGTGGTATGAATAAGAACATTTCCTGGCAGGGTAATGCTTTCCTGTCTTCTCCAAGCCATGAGTTCTTCTGTCACTGACAAATTACTTACAACTTCTGAACTGTGAGCTCTTTTATCACTCCAGACAAAATTCAAAAATTCAGGAGCCCACTGAAGCAGATAGAATGCTTTGGATTGTAAGTAACAGGGAGATTCTAGAAAAGTTGACTTAGTTGCAAAAGGGATTGTCTTGGACCCAGAAGGCCCAGGTGGGCTGACTCAAAAGCTTGACAAAGGCCTGACCACTTCCTCCTCTGCCATCCACAGGGCAGGGCTAAGAGACTCCCAGCAGGCACCTGTACCTGATGGAGTATTATTGGCCAATAAAGTTGTTGAGAAAGACTACATAACAACATGGGAAAATGCTTGAGATGCTAAGAGAAAGACACAGAGGATAAAAAGGTACATAAATACAATTAGACTTGTCCTTAAAGAGAAAAAAGCAAAATTCTGCTTCAAAAAAATTGGAAGAAAATGGACCAAAATATTAACAAGAGCTGTATTTAGGTTTTCTCTGTGCTTTTTCCCTACTTTTCAGTATATTTTAAGTTTTCTTTAAGGACTTTCAAGGTGAAAAGATGTTTATTTTAAAATTTAAAATGAAATAAAGAGATGTTCAGGTCTCCCTGGGAAATTCCTGGTGAATGAACACTGCTTTGCTGTGGGTCATAGAGTTTTGTGACTCTGTCACCCTGATTGAAAACTGAGTAACTCTCGTTTCCATTTTTGGGATACTTCCACTATAATTAACCTGAGAGAGTAGATTCTGCTAGTGGCTAATTAAATTTTTGCCTAATAATGATAGAAAGCTCATTATCTCATTCTATCAGGATACTATTTATCCCAGCATTTCTGTACTTTTAATGACATATTTTGGAATAGATCAAACTTACAAAAAAGTTAACAGAATAATATTTTTTAAAAATCCCATTTCTCCTATGATGGCTTAAATTTTACCATCATTTTCACCATCACACTTTCTTCTATCCATCTATAATCATAAATCACTCATCTGTTTTGGAACCATTTGTGAGCATGCTGCAGATACCCCTAGATACTGCAGTGTGTTTTCCCCAAAGACACTCTCCTACATAAACACTGCACAACTCCTCTAATTGAGAAACCCACACCAATACGTTTGCATCCAACCCACAGACACCATCCCCATTGTGCCAGCTTTCCCAGCACCATCTCTACTTCCTTTCTGGCATATAATTCAATCCAGGTTTGCACGCCATATGCAGTTGTCCTGTCTTTTCAGTCTCCTTCAGTCTGGAGCAGTTCCTTGCCCCTTCTCTGTCTCTCATGTCCTTGGTAGTTTTAGAGAAACTGAGGCATGGTATGTCCTCACAACAGACTCAGGCCAGGTCTCCATGATGGAAACCATGCAGTGCTCAGTGCACATGATGCGGGCACTTCCCACTCCTGCAGAGGGTCGCCTTCATCACCTCAGAGCCTGCCAGTCCTCTCCTCAGCAAAGTCAGCATTTCTCCTTTGCAATTGATGATTATGTTGTGGATGATGTACTGAGACTACAACTCTACCCTTTTCTCGTCAACTCCCACTTACTAGCCACAACACCTAGTAATGACTTCTCCCTGAATCACCACCCTTTTGGTGATTTCCAAGTGATAATTTTGTAATTCCATCATTCCTTTTGCATGCATTAGTCAGCATTCTACTTAAGGGAGAGGCTTCTCTTTTTTCCATTTACTCATTCATTTATATCAGGGTGGACTCATGGGGGCCTATTTCCTTCAATGGGCTATAGTCTACTACTATGATAATTTATCTTGATGCCCAAAATGCCCAAGATAAGACCAGTAGAGACCTCCACAATTTTAATCCTGTATCTTTTAAACACAACTCCATCATTAAAAAGCTCTGAAAACCCCCTCAGCAATTTTGTTCTTGTTCTCTAAAAAGTGAAAAGTACTCACATCATGAATGATCAATTCTCTAGCCTTCTTTTTGTAAACAGGAAAGGTTGAAGTGGGAATTGGGGCCAATAAACTATTGGTTTTTCTAACTTACACTTTCAGGATCTGAATTGCCAAAAGTTACTTCTCATTAATGTAGGATTTGGGAGATTGGAGATCTAAACCTGAGCATTAAGGAGGCTACCAGATTCCTCTGGTAGACCAGCTGTCCACCCATAAGTAGCCTGCCCAGTGTGGCCTCCAGGTCATTTCAGGCCCAAATAGAGCAAAGGACCAGCCCTGATGTGGGTGATGTACAGGGTATCATTGTCGGGAGACACTCGGAAGATCTACCTCTTTCCCACCCACAGTGTCCATGCCAAGCATAGGACCTGGCAGTATATGGACAGCAGTCTCCTCTTGAAGGCTGTTCTCTAGCTCTTTTTAAACTTTGTGGTAACAAAATTGGTCACATAAAAATATGCATGCTACCAAAAGAATTTTTTTTTTGAAGACAGAGTCTCACTCTGTTGCCCAGGCTGGAGTGCAGTAGCATGCAATCTCAGCTCACTGCAACCTCTGCCTCCTGGGTTCTAGCCATTCTCCTGCCTCAGCCTCCCAAGTATCTGGGGTCACAGACGTGTGCCACCTTGCCCAGCTAATTTTTATATTTTTAGTAGAAATGGGGTTTTGCCATATTGGCCAGGCTGGTCTTGAACTCCTGACCTCAAGTGATCCACCCACCTCGGCCTCCCAAAGTGCTGGGATTATACTCGTGAGCCACCATGCCTGGCCCCAAAAGAATATTAATCAAGGTTCGAATTAGCTAATTCATTCAAAAAATATTTCTGAGTCTGATCTTTGTAAAGCATTGTTCTGGGTACTAGAGACAGATGAGTGAACAAATCAAAGTCCTTGTCTTTGTGGAAATCAGGAGATAAAATGACCATTTAAAAAAACTGAGCAAGTTCACATGCAGATGACAAGTGGTGATATGCAGATGGAAAAACTAAATGGGATGAAGGGGACAATACTGCTGAGTGTGTGTGTTTATGGGAGGTGGTGGGGTGCTTTCCGTTAGCACCAGGGAAGGTTCTGCTGAAGCAGTGCTATTTAAGGAGAGACTGGAGGACTTGAGATCAACTGGTGGAAGAATCTTCCAGGGAGAGGGGTCAGCAAGGGTGAAGTTCTAGAAGTAAGCTTGGATCTCATGTGCCCAAGGAACAGAGAGGGGCCAATAGGCAGGGAGAATTGGGTGAGGGTGCAAGTAGCTGGACATGAGTTGGAAGCAGTAACAGGGATAAGCACAGGTTGTCCTGGAGGCCACTTTGTAGGTTTTGGCTTTTACTCAGAGTGAAATGGAGCATCATGGGAAAGCCTCGGGGAGGAGGTTATGTGGTCTGACTTAGGCTTTAAAAGATTGTCTTTGGAGGCTGTATTGAGAATGTTCTATGGAAGGGCCGTGGCAGGAATTGGGATGCCAATTAGGAGCTGTAGAAATAATCCCAGCAAGAGGTGGTAGCACCTTGGACATGGCTATTGACGTGCAGGTGGTGACAAGTGGTCAGATTCTGTGTATATTTTCAAGGTAGACTCAAAGACTTTGCTAAAGCTTTGGCAGTGGGATATGAGAGAAAGACAAGCCTTGTGTATTTGCCTTGGTTACTGGAAGGAGGGAGTAGCAATTTCCTAAGATGATGGCACTGCAGGATAATCAGATGAATAAATGGGATCAGTCTGGATGGACTAAGCTTGAGGCCCCTGGCAGACTTCCTGGCGGAGCCATCAAGGAGGAAGTTTAGGAGAGAGGTTGGGCTGTAAATAAAGATTTGGACATCATCAGCATACAGTTGGTGTGAAAAGCTGTGAGACCAGAAGCGAGGACCTAGGGAGTGAGGGTGAATAGAAGAGAAAAATAACCCTCTGAGGGCAAGCTCTGGACCATTCGAGAGTGGCCCCTGAGAGAGGAGAGCTGTGCACAGGAAAAAGGGAGGGGTGCCTCAAGCACAGAGCAGTCAGCTCCATCATACATGTGACAGGTCGAGCCCATAGCAGCCAGGACTTGGACACTGGATTGAGCAAAGTGGAGATCTCGGATAACCTTGACAAGAAGAGTCTGGTGACGAGGTGGAGACAAAGCCAAGATGGAGTTGGTGTAACAGATAGAGAAAAAAAAGGAGTAGAGAAAAAAATGGGGGCAACAAATATAAACAATATTCAACAAAATGTAGGAAATGTTTCCTAGCCCTTCCCCAGCGTGCTATCAGGAAGGTGAGCTCCACTTCCTACCTGGCTCTCAGAGTAGGGAGCCACCTTCCCATTCACTGACAGCCACAGCTTTCTCTTTAGATAAAAGAAAGAAAAAGCCTGGAAGAGGGGGCTGACTGCTGCTGCTGTAGCACAGGGCTGGGGTGTGTATGCAAACGGCACACAGAGAGAGATGCTTGATTACTATCAGCCTGAGTTAAAAATACAGAATTTTAAATGGTGGTTAGGAAGACTGCAGCAAGTCCTGAAGTTTCCATATTGACCAATTACATATCAACTCATTTTTGATTTTGAAAACAAGTTGCTATTAAGTGTAGGCACGTTTCCCCATGTCCATTGCTGACCTGTCACGTGTGAGGGGACCACTCTGCAGCCACGCTTTCCGTACACCACTTTTTTCCTTTGCCTTTAAGACAGGCTCTCACAGGAGCTTAGCCAAGCCTGTCAGTTTGGAGGAGAAAACTAGAAACTAGCCAAGTATGCCGTCCTTCACAAAGTATTTCACCCTCACACTTCAGCTCGAGCTCACACAGAATGTCGCCCTTCTGCTGAGAAGCCATCCATTTATCTGAAATGTCATTAGCTGATGTCACTCGGATATGAAAGGGAGCAAGTCAGGGCAGGGCTTCACTGGACTTTCCAAAGACATGTTTGACCCCACAAGAGGGAGGTCAGACCAAGGGGTAAAAAGAGAGGGGGAGAGAAAACACACATGCCCACATGCACAAGTGGGTTTAGGTCCAGAGGATTTTAAATGTAGTTCAGATATGCAAATTAATTTAAATGGAAGGAAGCATCACCCATGGTAAGATGGGAGACCCCCTAAGAACCTGCTCATTTGGGCCTGGAAGGCAGCTTTGCCATGTCAGTGAAGACACAAGATCAGAGACAGGCAGCCCTCTGACAAAACAGAAGGTTCTGTGGATGTCACGTGGACGTGCTGTTACTGAGATGGAACTGAAAACCAGGATTCAGAAACATCCAGGGCGATCACACAGCTTGCTTTCCTAGGACCACCCGTTTCCCCTCTGCCCACTCCCACCTTCAGTGTCTGTCCTCACCTCCTGAGACTCACCAGCATCAGGGACAGTGGTCAGTCCCTGAGCAACATAGCCACGGGGCCCTTGGAACCCCACCCTTTGGGGCAGGTTGAGCCTGATGGGCTGTTTCACACTGTGCTCACCCAGTCTGGGTGCCTGTTCAGAGCATTCAGAGCTGTTCAGCAATGACCCCTTTGTGTTACTTCCAAACCGTAGGGTTGTACTTGATCTCAATTGTCGGTGTGTTTTTTTTCTTTCGTTTCTTAAGAAAGATCTGGGGATGAATAGAAAAAACATACCACGAGTTGTACTTTTAGTAGTATTTACTTGTTTGAGCCTCTAGGATGTTTGTTTCATAGTCTTTTTCTAGTGGGCAGCACATCTCTACTAGGTTTTTAGCTCACTTTAGATGGAGAGGACGCCTTGGACCTCCTGGTGCTAACAGAATCCCAGAGGCAAAACCACTCAGATGTGGGGGGTGGGGAGTTGACTGATTAATCATACAACATCACAATTTTTACAGATTTTTATTTCTCCCAGGTAATTATTTAAATGAAATATGTCCAAGTTCCTCATATCTCCTCACCTCCACCTTTCCAGCATTTCTGTAGTGTATAACATACGCAGAAGCCGTCTTATTACAAAGTTTTGTTCGGAACGTTAGCAGAAATGATTACACAACATTATATGCAGTACTCAGAGCATAAACATTGGGTGCTACCACCAGCCAGGATCAGTCTGCAAAACCCATTTGCTGTATCCACATGCAAGATGTGGCAGCATGTGATAGTGTGTGAATTAGACCCCACCATTTCTCTTATCTAATCATAACTCTCAATTTGCTTGATTTGATGTTGGCATAAAAACTACCACTTTCTGTATTTCCAGGCACGAGTTTCCAGGGGCTTTGTGAGGCCATTTGCTCCCTGGTGCTCTGGAAATTGACGGGGTTAGCCATTGGTAGAAGCTCCCTGTTCACTATTCAGTTGGCGGCTGCACCCCACAAGTCATTCCCAACACCATAGCAGAGGAGGGGATGTCATCCCACGTTCCAAGATGGCCACCATTTCCTCTCTTATTCCATCTGAAATAGAGGTCAATTACCATACCTAGGTTCCACTGTGGATCCCTCTGTCCTTGGTCCTGCAACCTCAGGATACCTGCAGGGCTGGTGGATGGGGAGGGATGTTCTCCTTGCCATCAGCATCCTGTTTCTCTGAGCACCACCCAGCAGCATTTCTCCCCACTGGCAAAGGCCCAGTTGCAGTTCTGCGTATGTCTTGTTCTCCTTCTTCCTTAATTACAGAACCTTAGTCCTGTAGGAGTTGGCAGTGTATGAACTTGAAACAATATTTTATAGCCTTCTTTGCAGATAAGAGCAGCCATGTGACTATATGTGACCAATAATACGTATGGTGACTCCATGACTATTTTCCCTCTTGTTACTACAAAGGAGTCTTCTGCTGGCACTGGCCTTTGCACTTTGCCGTTTCCTCCTTCTTTGAGGGGGCATGGGCTGTGGAGAAGGTTCAGCCATCTTGTGGCTCTCTGCCAACATCCTGGAGCCACACTCTTACCCTGAGCAACCTACCCCTGGACTTCATGACATGCAAAAGAAAAAGAAGATCTATGACTCAAGCTGGTACATTTGCGTCTGTTACTAGGATCTAGGATATGCATGGAGCCCTTGCATAATACAAACCATCCATGCCATCCTGACCCGCAGTCACTGAGGACCGGGCCCCTTCGGGGACACTCACATCTCTCTTCAGTCCTATTCCACGTTGGTTGGGCTGTGACTTGCTCTGGCCACTGGGCAGTCCCTTGGCCTACAGTGCTCTGCTGACTTCTGTGTCCCTTCATGTAAGGTGACAGGAACCACTGAGGTCTCTTCTGCACTTTCTGAGAGCAGCGCAGAGCTGTGCAGAGACAGCACTCAGGCTCCCCAAGGATCCCTGTCTGCATCCTCCCAGGATGGTAGCTCTGGCAGGGCCTGAGGACTCACCACCACAAGTCTCCAAGTCAGCAGTGAGGTGTCCAGCTTACCTCCTGGCAAACAACCTTCTCATCAAATGGCAGGTGACCTGCCTATCCCTGAATAGCAGGTTTTGGTTCTCTGCCAGCCTGAAGAATTATTACAAAAACCAATCACAACTTCACCCTGGAACCAAGAGGCAGCTCCCTCTCTTGTTACTACAGAGCTTGCCTTCCACAGCCCCTGGCTATTCATGCTGTTCCCAAGTGCAGCCCCCATGTGGCCCCACATGGCCTGTGGTATCCTCCTCCCCTGGGCTTGATTCTACATGCTGTTCATCTGACCAGCCCAGCACTGGGTGTGCTGTATTCGTCCATCTGCCTAACCAAGTGGAGGGAATCCCTCTCTCACCAACTGATTGAGGAAGAGGAGATTAAAACCGAATCCCCCTTTACTCCCCCATGGGAGGAAGTCTCTCCCCACCACTGCTAACTACACACACCAGTGACTCCCCTCCCACACTACCTCTTTTTCCTGGGGAGCAGTCGGGGTCTATGACAACAGGCCAGTCCTGCCTCCTCCAGGAGCCGCACAGTAGACCCTGGTCACTGGCAGCTCACTGGAGAATGTGGTGAACGTGGGACCTTCGCTTTTAGTTATAACAGGAAAAGCCCCTTATAGAGAAGAGAAACAGCCTCCTACTGACGTGAGAAAAGAGGCTTAGAGGAGACAAATAGGGCTGCAGGTCAGGATGGGGGTGTGAAATGACAGTGGCCCCTTTAAACCTCTCCCTCCTCCTCCATTTTCTTCTTTTGTAAAAATATCAAGCCCAGCAAATCTCCTATTTGGGAGAGAAAAATAAAAGAATTAGGGAAAAGTAAAGAGGAAAATAGCATGTGAAGCACCCCTTGCTGTCTCCCATTCTTCAGCCATCAATCAGACAACTGACGCTGTGACTATTTCCAAACTTGAGTCATCTTTTTGTTACAAAAAGGTTGGCCACAGACCTGGTTTGGAATTTTCACTATTCAAGCCATTATTTGTTGTGTCAGCAAAGCAGTCAATTGTGTTCAGAGTCATCGGTTTGTTCTCTGAGTCTAATTTGAAAGACATGAAAACACAAAAGTACTCGGAATCCCTAATTAGGTACCTCTGTGCAGGCATTCCCCAATGAAGCTACCTTTTGATGGAAACCATCCGCACAGAAACATTGTTCACTGTTGGTGGCCATTCATGCCTCTTTACGCTCTTGTCCATTTGTGAAAACAGGGCTAGCCTCTTCCTGCCCCCAGGCCCACTGTAAATCCAGTCGCAGCCTGGGTCTCATCCTCCAAACAAGAATGAGCCAGTCGGACCATGCTAGAAAGGGATGGGCGTTTTGTTGGGATTTAAAAAGGAGAGTGCATCTTGCAGACCACACAGCAGAAGGAAGCTGGACTTGCTCAGCCAGTGGTTGGGGTCTTCCCCTCCACTCTTCCCTTCCCCATTCTTCATTTCCAGCAGCTGCCCCTTGCCGCACTGCTCCTTCACCCACACACTTTTTTGTTTTTTGTTTTTTTGTTTTGAGAAGGAGTTTCACTCTTGTTGCCCAGGCTGGAGTGCAATGGAGCAAACTTGGCCCACTGCAACCTCCGCCTCCTGGGTTCAAGCAATTCTCTGCCTCACCCTCCTGAGTAGCTGGGATTACAGGTCCCTGCCACCACGCCTGGCTAATTTTCTGTATTTTTAGTAGAGACCAGGTTTCATCATCTTGGCCAGGCTGGTTTTGAACTCCTGAACTCGTGATCCACCCACCTCAGCCTCCCAAAGTGCTGGGATTACAGGCGTGAGCCACCACACCTGGCCCACCCACACGTTTTATAAAGTCTCCTCTATTGTCCTGGGCAGTCTAATGCTGGGTGCAGCCTGCTATGACCTTCACAGTGAGGATAACACACAAGATGTAGCTTCACAAGTCCTCTTTGATCAGCAGCCATCCAGCTCTGGTCTGCCGAAGCCTCCTGTTTCCCAGGCAGCTTACTCCAAGGACTCACCGAACAATGCAGAGACAGCAGGAGCCTGTGGAGGGGGCCTCCTGCTGGCAGATAGAACATGCAATCTGGTTCCTTGTGCATACACATGGAGACAGCGTCCTGTTTTCAGTGGCAATATTGTTTTGCAAGCCCCACTTGCTGTGTTTTACCCACACATAAGAAAATAGGCCAAAAAGTCTTCTGGATAACTGTCTTCTTTCATCCCTCTTCTGTTGCTTATTACTGCCTGCCGCCTTTGCCCCTCAGCTGTGCCCTGTCTCCCTCCCACTCACACAGTTTCCGCCTGTCCTCATTTCTTCTCTTTTTTGGGACACATTTAAGATAAGGCCTCACTGTGACTCATCC
Source organism: Homo sapiens (assembly GCF_000001405.40). Taxonomy (NCBI): domain Eukaryota; kingdom Metazoa; phylum Chordata; class Mammalia; order Primates; family Hominidae; genus Homo; species Homo sapiens. The sequence continues at coordinate 268,245 of NW_025791787.1, read as the reverse complement.
AGCAGTTTTGTCCTTGGGCCAACCCAACTTCAGGCCATAGGTTATATAGTTATCACTCAACAGCTAGGGAGGGCTCATAAGAGTTTACCACACACTATGACGGGAGGTGTCAACTGAGCATCTGAATACAACAGAATGCTGAACTAGCAGGACTCCCCTGTCATTTGAAGAGAAATCCATTCAAAGAGAAATCCATTCAAAAAGAAATCCACTCAACATCTGGCTATCAACCATCTGGACAGTGCTGCAAGGAGTAAGGGAGTCTGTTATTGCCAGTACTCCAGGAGAAAGGCCAGGCTCAGGAACGATGGAGGGTGGATACTTCATTCTGGGAACCCTGTGAGGCTGTGGACCAGAGATAGTTCCTCTTAGCACAGAAACTGCTCATTTAAAAAAGTAAATTAAAAAAAAAAAAAAAAAGCAATAGGCATAGCCGCCCTGCTCTGAGCAATGTGGAAAAGTGCAATGGTTTTTATTCTCACTATGTATCAGGATCACCTAAAGAACTATGACTGTAGATATTGATTATCAACAGTTGCTAATATCTCTAAAAAAGAGACAACCATTCTGTATCTCTTGCTAAATGGACACACCCCCCAGGTTATATTCTTAATAAAAATTGAAACCTGAAGGAGATGAAGCCTCTAGATCTAACTAGATCTATCTAATTGGATCTAACTACGAACTAACAGGAAATATGTGGGACAGAGGAACATGATAATGACAACACCTGGATGCAAAACTGATAAAAGAAAGCATGATTCACCCTGAGAGCTACTCTATCCTGAGAGGATAAATGACCTGTTGTCTCAACAAGTGTATGCAGAGACAGGCAGAGAGAAGAACTATAGATTAACAATGAAAGAGCCTTATTTGGATTTTGATTCAACAAACAACCTATAAAATACCATTTTATTTTATCCAGATAACTAGACATTGACTAGGTATTAAGGAATTATTGTTGTGTTTTTCAGGTGCAATAATGGTACTGTGTTTGTGTTTCTTAAAAAAAAATTGTCTTACATTTTAGGGTGGTATTCTGACATGTTTAAGATGAAATGCTAGGAATTTTGAGATTGGCTTCAAAATAAGCCAGGACTGGGGAGAGAGCAGAGTGAGGGTGAAAATTGGATGGCCAGGAAAACAGTGATGTTTCGGTATAAGTATTGTCCCACGTGACGTTATATTTTTATTAAAAAGTCATCCATTTTTTACCTGAAATTCAAACTTAACTGAATGTCCTGCATTTCTATTTGGTAAAGCTGGCAGTTTGCTAGGTAAAACGCACTTGATTGTATTGTTCTCTCTACTGTTTTGTGTACTTCAAGTAAATAAATGAGGTGAAGGTTTTTAAAAAGCCTCCTCCAACCCCCTCCCTGGAGATCTGAAGTTATAGGAGTGGTGGTCCTTTGTAGCTGAGGCAGGTAGAGTGGTAAATATGCGTCATTCTTTAGTCAGCACCTCTGGTGGTTCTGATGCAGACAGATGCAGGTTGTTCTTGGGGACACTGGCTGAATGAGATGGACACAGGCCTGTAATTCTGGGCTTAGGGGCCAGCTCTATGGTTTTGGGACAAATTACTTATCAGCTCTTGAGCCCTCATGGAAATAATAATAATAATAATAGCCACTGATGAGGTCCTTATGAGGAGTAAGTGAAATTATAAGATCTGAGCTGTAAAGCAGCATCCAAGTGATAATTGGGTAATCAATAAATGTGAAAAGATGAAGTTTACCATCGTCATTTTCTAAAGTGTAGTTTGGGACATAGTATTTGCCTTCCAACATTAAATACAGGCCAAAAAAAGTTAATTATCAATATCAAAAAGAAACACTGTGGTTGAGAAAGATGTCTCAAATTGAGAAATAAAGCCACTTCTTAACAATTAGGAAACATAAAAAGGACAAAAACAAGTTTTGAAATAAAAGTGTGAAAAATAAGTCTTCGTTAATAGGCAGGAATCCTTTTAATAAACACCTTGCAGCCGGGCGCGGTGGCTCACGCCTGTAATCCCAGCACTTTGGGAGGCCGAGGCGGGTGGATCACGAGGTCAGGAGATCGAGACCATCCTGGCTAACACGGTGAAACCCTGTCTCTACTAAAAATGCAAAAAATTAGCCGGGCGTGGTGGTGGGCGCCTGTAGTCCCAGCTACTCATACGGAGGCTGAGGCAGGAGAATTGCTTGAACCTGGGAGGCGGAGCTTGCAGTGAGCCGAGATCACGCCACTGCACTCCAGCCTGGGCGACAGGGAGAGACTCCATCTCAAAAATAAATAAATAAATAAACACCTTGCACTTATCCAGGAGCAGCTGAACATGTTGCACAGCAGATCAAGCATGACCCTGGGGTTTTGTCTACACCTCTCTCCACCCTATGCCTGAGAACTCCAAATGAGGAGTCCATGGGCTCAAAGTTAGGGAACGTGGGCTCTAAAGTTTACCTGTAACTTCCTAAAGTCAGAGCTCTCTAAGCCTCAGGTTCCTTGTGTGTAAACTGGAGATGAAACATGGTTTCCTTCAAGGATTGGAGCATCTAGTGGACTAATTAAAGTGAGCAATGTCAGGAACAATGGTCATATTCCACCCTCTTGGAGGAAACTCCCAATGGTCCCATCCTGGTGGGTGGCATCCATGTCCCCAGGGAACTTGGCATCCAGGCCCAGGGCTGGAGGGAGCAAGCCTGGGAGAGGGGTGGACTCATAGTCCAGCAGAAGCCTCTGATCTCTCATTTATCTATTCCATGTGGCCAAGGAGATAGGTTCAAAAGAAGCCTGAGGATGAATATTCTCAGTGACACCAGATATTAAGAGGCACAGGTTAGGACTTCCCTTTACCCATGTTCTACTCCACTGTTCCACTATTGGTCTTTTTTTTTTTTTTTTTGAGACAGAGTCTCACTCTGTCGCCCAGGCTGGAGTGCAGTGCTGCAATCTCTGCTCACTGCAAGCTCTGCTTCCCAGGTTCAAGCAATTCTCCTGCCTCAGCCTCCCAAGTAGCTGGGACTACAGGTGCCTGCCACCACACCCAGCTAATTTTTTGTATTTTTAGTAGAGACAGCATTTCACCATGTTGGCCAGGATGGTCTCAATCTCCTGACCTCGTGATCTGCCCGCCTCAACCTCCCAAAGTGCTGGGATTACAGGCGTGAGCCACCACGCCCAGCCTATTTGTCTTTTATTCTTCCTCTTCAAGATGGCTCTCGACATCACTTTAGTGAGTGTCCTTTTTGTGAAAATACATGTATTGAGAGACAGGAGCCCTGAGCAATTGGCAGTGACCCTGTGTGTGTCAGCCACAGCCCAGGGACAGAGTGAGGGTCAGCACTGATCGTGGCCAAATGGTGGGGAGGTTTTCAGACAGGCGTCAATTCTACATGTGGCTGCAAACAACTGCGTCATCTTGGTTGAATGTCTCCACTTTCTACCATCCAGCTTCCCCGCAATGAAGTGTGCAGAACTCACTGCTGCAGGCCAGGCCACACTGTCACTATCACTAAGATGACCGTGCCTGTTCCCAGGACTGTGCACAGGTTACTCCCTGAGATAAGGAGGTGGGCATCCCCTGCCTGTTCCAGGAGCTCTGAGGTGTTAGCTGCCCGTTCCTTCCAGGAGAGTGGGAGAACCCGGCTGGGGAGGGTGTGAACCCCACAAAAGACATCTCTCCCCAGTTCTCACTTCCTGATGCTTGGAGCCAGACCTGCCTTACACACACACACACACCCCACCACCACCACCCATGCTCTGAGGGTAGAGCTGCAGGACTGGCCCCTCCTTACTGACTTGAAGACAGGCCTGAGAGGTCTCCCCAGGGCCTCACTAGCGAGCCACCAGCTGGGCCTGCAGCCTGGGCCCCTGACCCCAGCCAGGGCTCTTCCTCCCCAGCTTCTCACCGACTCAGCGGGCTGGGCTGGGGATATTAAAGGGAATTTTAAGAACAGGAAATGATCATGCATCCGGTTGAACTCGCCTGCTGTCCTTTTTGGCTGCTCCTAATTCTACCTTCCGGCCTCAGAGTTTGCCTCCTGGGGTTTGTTTCTCTGTGCTCAATATTTTCTGCACAGCGACCTGAATTTCATTATGTGAGGCTCAGAGGGCTCTGGCCCCAAATAGTGGGGGAGAAACAGAGCGAAAAAACACAAAAGGTTCCTGGTGGAGTTGCTGATTAGAGTAAGACAATCCTTAAATGCTGAAAGAGAGAATCAGAGAGAGTTGCAGGAAGAGAAAATAAAACAAGCTGCCATAGTTGCCTTGAAGTTATCTCAGAAGATGGGCAGTAACTGTCATGCCGTGGGGAGGAGTGCGGAGGAGGGTGCAGAGCAGTCTGGTTTCAGGGAGACCTTAGCAGGATGAGATTCAGCTCTTGGAAATTAGGAAAGGCCACGGCTAAGAAACATGTATTGTTAGTCTTTCCCCCCAAAATTTCCAAGAAAAGAAAGTAGTGCGTAAGAATACTCTGTGAAAGTAGGGATTTTATCTCTGTACAATTACAATAAAACTAATTTCTTGAACACAGAAGCCCCAGATTTTCCCTGATGTTTTGCCACCAGTGTTATGCCCCGTACACATGCACACACACACATGCACACTCACTGCAGGCCCTCCACAGGTGACCACGCAGAAGGAGGAACCACAACTACTGCTGACGATTGATGCTGCGTCTGAGACACTTGGCACTCCAAGAGCCCATGGCCCTGGCCCTGTTGATACAAACACCTTCCATTTGTGCCTTTTTTTTTTTTTTTTTTTTTGAGGCAGGGTCTCACTCTGTCATCCAGGCTGGAGTGCAGTGGCACAATCAGAGCTCACTTAAGCCTTGAAATCCTGGATTCACCCGATCTCCCACCTCAGCCTCCTGGGATTATAGGCATGCGCCACCATGCCCAACGTGGGCCCATACTTTTTCATATGCACTTATAGGCTCCCCAGACACTCTGGTTTCTTGCCCACTTCTTGTTTTCTAAATATGAGATGTTTCCAGTTTTCAAACATTCCTTTGCTCTGATCTAACCTGGTACATTGTTGTTTCTCTGTTCTGCTGTACTGGGGACTGTGTTTGCTCATAGTTAACCCCAATGACTAAGCAAGTCCATTAAAAGGCAGGTCTAAAATGGGGGAGGCAAAAATTTTGTCTGCTATAGTTTACCCTCTGACCACATTCCTCTCTCTCATCTGCAAAATGCATCTATCCTGTCTCATGACAACAAAGATCTCACTCCATTAGAACACCCACTTCAAGTCCAAAATCTCATCATTTCAGTCGCCTTGAGCAGTCAGGTGAGGCTCTGCTATGATACACCCTGAGCCACAGACCCTGTCTATCTGTGGCCCTGTAAAACTAGAAAACAAGTAATCTGACCACCAAATTCAATGATGGTATAAGTGTAGGAGAGCCATTATAGACATTCTGGTTCCAAAAGGGGAAAATGGGGGGCACCAGTTCAGGCAGTTTCAATCCATCTGGGAGATGCAATTAAGTTTAAGGAATTATCCTCACTGTGTCGTGGGCTCGATTCTCTAGGCTCTCAATTCTACCTTTCAGGCTCTTGGCTCTCCAGAAGAGAAAAATAAAAGCAACTGAAGAAGGCAGATGACCAATGCCAATCAATTTGACATGGCTGTGGGCTGAGTTGTATCCCACCCCCAAATTCTTCTGTGGAAGTTCTGACCCCTGAAAGGGGCAGCTCCAAGGGCACCCATCAGCCCCCATCCAGCCCCTGAGGGGCAGCTTCGCCCTCTGTCTTCTGACTCTGCCCTTCTCAGCCTGGGACTTGCCTGGGTTTTGTCTTCCCTTTCAGCATGAAGCCAGGGACCCCCAGACAGTTTGGGAGAATCCTCATATGGCCTACAAGATGCCCTGGCCCTCTCTGACCTCACCACGTGCACTCACTCCCCCAGTGGCTCTCTGCTCCCCAAGTGCAATATGCTCTGTCTCCCAATCCACACGCTTGGCTTGTTCTTTCTCACCCTTCAGGTTTGAGTTTAAACATTTCCACCTCAGAGAGTCCTTCCCCGAACATTCCACGTAGAGTTGTTCAGTTCCTTCCTCCCCATCCACCCCGTCCACTTGACTTCCCAACAGGAAGGGAAGAAGAGAGGAGATGATCTTGAGAGGGAAAAGAGGAGAAGAGTGAGAATAAAGGAAGCGGGGGTAAGAGTCGCTGTGAGGGTTAAATGACTCAGCATACATTAAGCAAAAAGGACAAATATGTATTTTGCTACAAAATACATATTGGGTGACATCATCTCTGCCTAAGGACTCAACACCTTGGCTCACTGGTTCCTTCCACCTGGAGGTCCTGCCACCACTCTGTCAAAATCCTGTGGCCACGTGTGAATATCGGCTCTTTCATAAATCTCTACTTATTCCCACCCAGAAAATGGTCTCCCTTCAACCCCTGTAGGGTGTTGCTTGTGCTTCTTCCTGAGCACCCCTTGCATTCACCCTCCTCCATTGTCTGCTCTCATTTCTGATGCTGGTGTACAAGGACCAGCACTCTCACTTGCTCAGAGACAAGAAAGCTGCAGATGCCTGGTCACCCTGCCCAGTTCTGCAGTGTGATGGGTCCAGACTGCAGACTGCCTAGGACTCTGCTTCCTGGAGAACCCTCCCTCCCTTAACATCCCCTCTGGCTCACTCTTTGTCCTCAGGCCTCCTTTGGTTTTAGAGTGATAAGCTGATAGCCATAAACAGTTACAGCCTTTTAAAATATGAAGGCTCCCTTGCCAAGAATGCTCATCAAGCAAGAAGTCTTTGTTGCAACAAAGATAGTGCCATGGTTTTACTCCTTGGCTCTCCTGAGATTGAAGTTAAACAAATACGCAGTTTGGCCCAAGACCTGCTGAGTCACTTCTCCCATGTAGACACACTAAAGGTTTAGCAATAAGTTATCATCTCTCTTTTTTTTAAGTACAAACAAAATATTATTTCAGGAGGAAAAATTTCAGAAAGTGTTTCATTTATTTCTTTCTGTTTTCTCTGGGAGTCTTTGTCTATCCTAGACTATAGAATTGGTGTCATTACCTCAAGCAGTGAGACGAAAAAGGGAGGACCCTTCTTTCCATGGGGTGGGCAAGATGGGAGAATCACAACGGTTCCTTGAGTGTGTGATGTGGCTCTCCTCAGCACCTCCTTCTTGACTGCCTCGTAGACCCAGTTAAAAATCAAGTACTGGGGACCCAAGCTTACTGTTTGGAGCTATTATATACTTCGAGGACATTACAGTTGCAAAAAGTCAAGAGCCAATTATTAAGTAATTCAGTCTCCAAAAGAGACCCTACAGCCACAAGTGTCTGGATATTAAAGCAGATTTAACTCTCTGAATTAAACTAAACTCTTGTTTGTCAAGGAAACGCATGCCACTATAACAGCCAATAATTAATTATGTGACTGTCAACAAATAATCCCCCAAACTGTTTGGAAATGAATAAATATGGTAGGATTGAAACCACACGATTTAATACCCTAATTCCATTTCAGCCATGGCCAAACTCACAATTTACTCAATTTCCTATCTACAAACTTTATTATTTTAGCAACATATAAGTGGGACTTCCTGTGCAAAAATGAGTAAGATTTTATAAGCTCAACAGATATAATTCCCATGAAACCGATCATTTTTACCCCATGGTGACAAAACTGCTTACAAAATCTTTCATCAATCTCACAAAACAAATGCTTTTATTGTTATGAAGATTGATAACCTTCCCCTACAAACTGCTTTTGAAGAGAATGATGTTCATTTGTTCTCTATTGGTAATCAAAAGCCAACTTGGTGAAAATCAGGGGAGGATGTCACTTTCTGTTTTGTTGTTGGCTTACTCCTAAACAATCTTCTGTATTTAGATTTCAAGTCAGCAAAAATCATTGCATGCCTGCCATGTACCAGATCTCCAGCAAGGAGGCAGGCTGCAAAGGCATGTAAAGGGAAGGGTGTCCTGAAGACAAGTAATTCTCACACTGTGCATTCAGTCCTCGGGGGACCTAGATAAGGGAGTAATTAATTCTGCCTGAGGAGAATTAAAGAGGAGGTTAAAGAGAGTGACATAGAAGGGTCATGTGAAGAATTGAGGCAGCGGGTGATGAGAAAATCTGCGAAAGTATCATTGTGAAAAAAAGTGAAATTAAAAATAGCATGTTTGACTTTTACATAATGTAAAAAACTAAGTGCAGAAAGGGAAATTATGTTACTGTAACTGGTGAAGTGAGTCATGGCTCTCTTTAAACAGCCATCACTATGTTTACCAATGAAATTCACTCAAAAATTTAGTAAACTGAAAGCCCGATTTCCTTAACTTATGGGAAAAAAATTACAGTCAACATCTGAGATCTCTTGCCCCTGAAAAACCACAATTAAATAGGTAATCAAATATATCTATATTTTAAAAAAATGGGTAATTCTACTTTTAGGAGATTTTAAATAACAATGTCAATTATTTTAATGATTGTAGAACTATTTAGATTATCTATGTCATTTCGGGTAAAGAAATTTCTTTCCTTTAAGTTATCAAATTTATGAGCACAAAGTTGTTCACAGTATTCTTTTATTATCTTTTTAATGGCTGTGGGATCTGTGGTGACATATCACATTTCACTCCTGACATTGATGATTTGCGTCTTCTCTCTTCTTATTTTTGTTATTCTTGCTAGACACATCGATTTTATTGATTTTTCAAGCAGCCAGCTTTGTTTTATTAGTTTTCTTTTTGTTTTCCTATTTTCGATTTCGAAATGACTTTCTTGTTTTCTTCTGCTTCCTTTGGGTTTATTTTACTTTTCCTTTTTTTTAGCTTTTTGAGGTAGAAAGATGACTGATTTTAGAGATTTTCTTATTTCTAATGTAATCATTAATTGCTAAAAATTTTCTTCTCAATACTCTTTCAGCTGTATTCTATATAGCTTCCTATGCTGCATTTTCATTTTCATTTATCATTCAGTTCTATTTTTAACATTTTTCCTTCAAGACTTATTCTTTGACCCATGAATTATTTAGAAGTGTGTTATTTTATTTGCAAGTATTTAGAAATTTCATGTTACCCGTCTGTCATGGATCTCTAGTTTGATTCTATTGTGGTCAGAGAACACACTGTATTATTTCAGTTTTTAAAAAGTTGTTGTTACTTGCCAACCAAGAATGACTATATACCAAGAATACAGTCAGTCTTGGTGAATGTTCCATGGGTGCGTCAACAAAATGCATATTATGCAGTTGTGTGTGGAATGTTGTGTAAATGCCAATTAGATCCTGTTGGTTGATTGTGTTAATCAGATCTTCTGTACCCACACTGATTTTCAGTTTATTGTTCTATCAGTTGCTGAGAGGAAAAAATTGAAGTCTCCAGCCATAACTGTGGATTTGCCTATTTCTGCTTTCAGCTTTATCACTTTCCTTTCGTGTATCTTAGGCCCTTTTATTATTTGTATACAGGTTTAGGTTTGTTATGTCTTTCTGGTGGATCGATCTTTCCATCTCTATGTAATGTCCCCTTTGCCTTTAGTCTTGCTCTTTGCTCTGAAGTCTACATTATTAGATATTAATATAGCAACTCCTGCTTTTTTAAATTACTGTTTGCATTGAATATCTTTTGCAATCCTTTTACTTTCAACCACTTATGTTATTGAATTTGAAGTGAGTTTCTCATAAACAGGATATAATTGGTGTGTGTGTGTGTGTGTATGTGTGCATTTAGCTACTTGGTCAATCTCTACTTTTTAACTGGTGTATTGAGAACATTTATATTTAAAGTAATCATCGATATATTAGGAGTTACATCTGCCATTTTATTATTTGCTTTCTGAAACATAGAACATTCATCATGATAAACAATATTTTGTGCCATAAGACACACTTTATTAACTTAAAAGAACAGAATTTATACAAAGTATGTGCTCAGGCCACAATGTAATTAAACTAGAAATTGATAGTAGAAAGATAGCTGGAAAATTCTTATTATTTGGAAGCTAAGCAACACACTTCTAAATAACACATGAGTCAGATAAGAAATCAACTAAGAGAAATTTAAAATATTCTGAAGTAAAAGAAAGTGAAAGCAGAATATATCAAAATTTATGATATACAGTGAAAGCAGTGCTTGGAAGGATTTTGCACCACTAAATACATATATTTAAAAAGGGGGGATCTAAAATCAATAAGCTAAGCTTTCATCTTAGGAAACTAAAGAAAAAAGAACAATTAAAATCTAAAGCAAGCAGAAAAGGATAAAATAAAAATTAGGGCAGAAATCAAGAAAATTAAACTTAGGAAGAAATTAAGAAAAATCATTGAAATCAAAAGCTGGTTGTTTAAAAAGAACAATAAAACTTATAAACCTTTATTCAGGTTAACCAAAAGAAAAAGAGAGAAGACACAAGTGACCGATATCAGAAATGAAGGAAAGACCATCACTACTACCATGTACATTAAAAAGATAATAAAGATAATAAAGGAACATTATGAACAACTCTGTGCCCATAAATTTGATAATTTTGATAAAGTGGACCAATTTTTTAAAAGAAAAAAAAATGGCCAAAAATTCACACAAGGAGAAATTGACAACCTAAATAGGCCCCTATCTAGTAAAGAAAATGCATTAATAATCAATAACTTTTTTTAAAGGGAACACCAAGTCCAAATGGGCTTGCTGGTGAATATTATCAAAGATTTAAGGAAAGTGATGCCAATTTCCTATAATCTCTTCCAGAAAAAATAAGCAGAATACTTCCTCACTCATTCTATTTGGCAAGCATTACTCTAACACCAACATCAGATAAAGATGTTACAATAAAGAAAAACTAAAGGGAAATATGTTTTATTAAAATAGATATAAAAATCAACAAAATATTGGCAAACTAAATTTAACAATGCATAGAACGAATTTTATACCATCACTAAGCAGGATTTATAACTCTGGTTTAACATTGGGAATAAATTAATCACCACATCAAAAGACTGGAATATAAAAATCATATGACAATATCAAAAGATCCAAAAACATTTAGTAGAATCCATCACCTGTTTATGATTAAAAAGACTCAGCAAACAAGGAATAAAAGGAAAATTCCTTAACTTGATAACAAAGATCAACAAAACACCTAAAGCTAACATCATACTTAATGGTGAGAAACTAGATTCTTTCCCCACTAAGATTGGAAACAAGGTAAGAATGTCTTCTCTCAACACTCTTATTCAACAAAATATCAAAAAGGGGAATAAAAGACATACATATTGGAAAGAAAAATATAAAACTATTTTTTGTTGCAGATGTCATGTTTGTCTATGTAGATAATTCCAAAGAATTGACAAAAATACTTCTGAAACTAATAAGCAAGTATAACAAATTGTGGGATATCAGACTAATATACGAAAGTCAATTTCTTTCCTATACACCAGCAATAAATAATTGGAAATTGAAATTTTAAAAAACACACAATAGTACCAAAAAGTGAAATCATTAAGTATAAATATAACAAAATATATATAGGATCTATATGTGTAAAATACAATACTCTCCTGATGAAAGATATAAACAACAGATCTATATAAATAGGGAGATAGTCCATGTTCAAGGAATGGAGGACTCAATTTTTTTAAGATGTCAATTCTTCCTAAATTCAATACAACGGAGTCAAAATCCCAGAAAACTATTTTTTGGATATCCACAAAGTAATTGCACAGTCTACAGAGAAGGCAAAAGACCTAGAAAGTCAAACACAATACAGAAGAATAACAAAATTGGAGGGCTCACACTACTCAATTCCACAACTTCCTATAAAGCTCTAATAATCAAGACGGTGTGGTATTGGTGAAAGAACAAACACACAGATCAATAGAACAGAACAGAAAGTCCAAAAATAGGCCCACATAAATGTAACTGGTTTTAGACAAAAAAGCAAAAGCAATTGAATGGAGAAAGAATAGTATTTTCTAAAAATGGTGCTGGAACATCCATATGTTAAAAAATGAACCTGGGCCAGGCACGATGGCTCATGCCTGTAATCCCAACACTTTGGGAGGCCGAGGCGGGTGGATCACGAGGTCAGGAGATCGAGACCATCCTGGCCAACATGGTAAACCCTGTCTCTACTAAAATACAAAAAAATTAGCCGGGCATGGTGGCACGGGCCTGTAGTCCCAGCTACTTGGGAGGCTGAGGCAGGGGAATCGTGTTGGAGGCAGAGGTTGCAGTGAGCCAAGATCACGCCACTGCACTCCAGCCTGGTGACAGAGCAAGACTCCTTCTCCCCCTTCCAAAAGAAGGAAAAGAACCTGCACCCAGACGTTATGCCTTTCACAAAAATTAACTCAAAGTAGACCATAGACCGAAATGGAAAGCTTTAAAATTTTTAAAAGAAAATATAAGAGAAAAATCTAAGTCAACTTGAGTTTGGTGATGAGATTTTAGATACAACAGCAAAATCACAATTCATAAGAGAAAAAATTAATGTGACATTTATTAAAATTAGAATCTTCCTCTATCTGAAAGACACTGCTAAGAGACTAAAAATACAAGTCACAGATTGGGAGATAGGTGCAAAACACATATCTACAGAGGCCTTGTGTGAAAAACACATATCTAATAGAGGCCTTGTATCAAAATACACAGAGAATTCTTAATACTCAACCAGTAAACAAACAACCCAATTTAAAATGGGCAAAAGATCTGAACAGACAACTCACCAAAGAAAATATACATATGGGAAATAAGCATTTTAAAAGATGCTCAGTGTCATTTGTTGTTAGGCAATTGCACCCTGAAACAAAACTAAGCACTTATTTGAATGACTAAAACTTAAAATCTGACAATACCAAATACTGTTGAAGATGCAGAGCAACAAGAACTGTCATTCTTTGCTACAGAAAATGCAAAATAGCACAGCCTCTTTGGAAGATAATTTGTCAGTTTTTTTATTAAACTAAACATAGCTTTACAATAAAATCCAGCAATCGTACTCCTAGGTATTTATCCAACCAATTAAAAAAGTCATGTGAATGTTTATTCATAATCACCAGAAACTATCTACAACCAAGATATCCATTAATAAGTAAGTTGATAAACTGTGGCACATCCATAAAATGAAATATTCAGTAATAAAAATAAATGAACTATTAAGTCACAAAAAGATATACATGTATCTTAAATGTTTATTGCTAAGTGAAAGGAGCCAATCTGAAAAAGCTACATGCCATATGATTCTAATTATATGACATTCTGGAAAAATAAAAACTAAAAAGATGATGCAAAGATCAGTCACTGACAACGGTTCAAGGGAGAAGAAAGGGTTGAATATATGAGCACAGGATATTTTGGAGTGGTAAAATCATTCTGCATGGTTCTATAATGGTGGATACATGACATTACACATTCAACAAAACCTGTAGGACTTTATAACACAAAGTTCTGTGTGCAAACCTTAATGTCTGCAAATTTCTACAAAATCACTTACAAAGCTGGGAGAATTCCAGGTGGAATGTCAAACATGACAACAACAATCTAACTGTATTACAAATATATGTAACAATCTCATTGAAGGGGTGAAGGAGAAATGTGCTGAGTTAAGTAACTTTGGAAATTAGTGGTGCTTGTAAGACAAAAGAAAGTGTTCATAAGCCCTATACTCCAGTTGATAAAGTTGTTTTCCTTGGGAACATGGATTGGCAATTCCGATTCTGCTACACATGTGTACTGGAATTCAAGTAAATGGATGGTGGATGGTGGAAGCCAGATTTCTCACTATTGGAGGAAGAAGTTCCAGATAAGCAAAGGGAGGAGGCTGAAATGGTCTGTGTAGTAAGGCCTTAGAGTTGGAGACCTCAACACGAATTCATGTTTAGCTTATTGTAAATACAATGTTATATATGGAAATATATATAGATGCATATATACACAGGTTAGTATACACTCAAACGTTTCTTTTTCCTGCCAGCTGAATGAGCCCAGAAGCAATGATACCCCAGTAACAATGAGCACACCAGTGCCCAGATCCTAATCTCTAATAAGATTCTCCAACAAAAGGTGCCAGGACTCCTTCCAAAAATGAATGACTCCTGGACTGCAGCAGGAAATATACAAGATGAACATGGAGTGTCTTACAGTCAGAAAAAAAAGAAAAAGTACTCAAAACAAATGAATAACAACAACAACAAAAACTCCACAATGAACAGGTTATGTCAAAAACAGCAAACTGAAAGAGCTCCCAATGGCCAAAACTGGAAAGATTTGAGCAACAAAATAAATTAAATGGTCCATTATAACTGAAAGTATTAAATAAATATCCATGAGCTCATGCAGATATAAATGAATGAATAAATAAATAAGTGGGGGAAGAATGAACAAATCTCTCATGTAGATTTCCAAATAATTTATGTAGTTACTCCATCCTCAAGGAAGTGGAATAAACCACAACTTATTCATACCTTCTAACACTGGTGGGCATTTAGGTTTTATCAGGTTTTTGACATTACTATGCTACTAGGAACATGTCTCCTGCCTATGTAAGAGTTTTTTCTAGGGTATGTTCTTTGGGGTGAAATTGCTGTGCTATGTACTGAGTATGTGTTCAACTTTACTAGGTAATACCAAATGTTTTCCAAATAGTTGCACCAATTCTTTACACCTTTAGCTGTGTCTGAGAGTTCCCAGTGTTCAACAGCCTACCCTAAGCATGGAGTTTTCTGATTTTCAAATGTTTCTCAATCTAGTCCTTATATAATAAGGCATTGCATTATAGTTTTAAATATTTGTGTCTCACTGATGACAACAAAATGTAAAATCTTTTCATACAGTTTTGGATCAGTCATCTTTTTCTTGGAAAGTGCCTATTCATGTATTTTGCCATTTTTCTCCTTGTTATTCATTTTTAGTTCTTTATCATCTTGGGATTCTAACCCTTTGTTGGTTATAGATACAGCACATATTTCTTGCTTGTGGCTTTTTGCCCTCTTTATAGTATCTGTTGAGAGCAAGAAATTCTCAGTGAATCATCTACAAATGATCACATCCTTGTAATCACCACCCACGTAAAGAAACGGAAACTTAACTAGCCTCCAGGAACATTCCTTCATGCCCACGCTGATTACTACCCCGCTTCACCCCAAAATTAAACATTACCCTGACTTCTAAAACCTATAGATTAACTTGGCCTACTGAACAGCTTTATATAAATGGAACCCTATAATATATATTCCTTTTGTCTGGTTTATTTCATTCGGAATTATGTTTATGAGATGCATCCAAATTGTTACATATGGCTACAGAACATTCATTTTCATTGTGTGAATGTACCACAATTTATTTACCAATGTTAGTGTTGACAGATACTAATATTGTTGGTGTGTTGAGCGTGTTTCTAATTTGAGGCTATTACGAAAAATTACTGCCATGAAGATTTTTATACATGCCTTTTGGTACATATAGTTCTATTGAATTTATATCTAGGTAAATTTCTGGGTCACAGCTAACTTTAGTTTCAGCTATAGTGATACTGTCAACAGTCTTATAAATTGATTGTACTCATTTTACACTCCTATCCAGTATTATGTAAGAGGTTGTATTGTTCCATACCTTTTCATCACTTGCCATTGTCTAATTTATAATTTGTAGTGGTATCTCCTTACAATTTTAAGTTTTTATTTCCCTATGTCCAACGTGGTTCACCATTTTTAAATACATTTATATGTTATTAGATAGTATATTTTGTGGGGTGTCTGTTCAAGTCTTATATTCATTTTTAAAATAGGCTTACGTGTCATTTTCTTGATTTGGAAAAAATCCATATTTTCTGGATATGAGGCTTTATCAGTTGCAGGTTTTCAAGTATTTTCTCTAAATTTGTGGTTGACCTTTTGAATGTTCCTAGTGGTGTTTTTAATTAACAGACACTTTTTGATTTAATGTAGTACAACTCAGCATTATTTTTATTTTATGGTTGAGCTTTATTTGATCAATTTAAGCATTCTCTGCCTAGCACAATATCATAAAGATATTCTTCTACTTTGTCTTCTAGAAGTTTTCTTGTTCATACTTTCACATTCACATTCATGGAGTGTGCACCTGGAATTGAGCTTTGGTGAACAGTGTCTAGTAGACCTGATTAGTTTTTTCTGTATGGATATCCCACTGGCCCAGCAACATTTCTTAAAATGACCCTCCTCTTCTCACTATTCTGCAGTGCCACCTTGCCATAAATCAAGTATGCATACAAATTTCTGTTTCTGGACCCCACATTTTGATCACTTGGTACAATTGTCTATTCTTCAGTCATTGGAATTCTGTCTTAATTGTAGTAAATTTATTAAAAGCCTTGTTTTATTATAGTGTAAGTTCTTCCATCTTGATATATTATTTTTGAGAGGGTATTGCCTGTTTTGCCTTGTTTTATTTTGGCATTTTTATATAGATGCCAAATAAGATTGTCAATTTTTACAAATTTTCATGCTGGAATTTTGGTTGTTATTGTATTTAACCTATAATTCAATTTGGGGAGACTTAAATCTTTATAATGTTGGTTTTCTAATCCATGAATATGGTATATTTCTGCATTTATTTAGTTTCATCATTAATTTCTCTCAAAAACATTTTGTAGTTATTTTTCTAGAAAGCTGGCATAATTGTCTGAGATTTAGTCTTACTTGATACTATTTTTAATGTTATCTTTGACTTTTTTCTATTTTCTATTAAGGTATAATTTACATGCACTATAATTAACCCATATAATTACACACTTCTGTAAATTTGGACAAATATAAAGTCACTAAATTCAAGAAGTGTCATCAGCCAAAAAATTCTCTGTGGTCCTTTGTAGTGACCACCCCCTTCCCCATCCTCAGCTGCTGTTAACCACTGCTTTGTTTTCTGTCTCTCTGGGTTTGCCTTTTCTGGATTGTGATATAAATGGAACCACATAGTGTGTAGACTTTGATTCTGGCTTCTTATACTTAACATAATCTATCTGAGATTTATCCACACTGTTGCACATACCAGCAGTTATTCCCTTTAATTGCTTAGTAGGGTATTATCATACCATGGTTTTTTTACCCGCTTGCCAGTTGAAGGATATGGTCATTTGGATTTTTCCAGATTTGAAAGATTATAAATAAAGCCATTATAAACTTAAACATTTGCCTACAGGTTTTTATGTTAATGTAAGTTACCATTCCAAATGGGTAAAAATCTAGTAGTGACATTGAGAGGTTTATGGTAATTTTATGTTTAAGTTTAAGAGAAACTGCAGAACTGTTTCTCAAGGAAGCCATACCACTTTGCATTTCCACAAACAAAACATAAGAGTTCTAGTGGCTCCACATTCTTACCAGTATTTAAGATTGTCAGTTTCTTTCTTTCTTTTAATTTGAGCTAGTCGAATAGGTGTGTATTGTTATCTCACTTGTGGTTTCACTAATGACTAATATTGTCCATCATTTTATGTGTTTTTGCCATTTGGGTAATCTTTTCTGCCATTCTTGTCTTTTCATTTTCTTAACAGTGATTTTTAAAGAGAAGTTTTTAGGTTTGATGATATCTAATTGATCAATTTTTTTCTTCTATGAATCATGCTTTTGCTATTTTATCTAAGAAATCTTTCCTCATTTGAGGTAACAAAATTTTTCTTCTATGTTTTCTTCTAAAATTTTATAGTTTTAATTTTATATTTAGGTCTACAGTCTATGGCTAACATGGAGTTAATTTTTGTATATGGTGAAAAGTATGAATCTATATTTTTTTATTGCATGTGAAGATCTAATCCTTTCAGCACCATGTGTTGAAAACACTGTACTTTCTCCATTAAATTGCATTTGTGCCTTTATTTAAAAAATCAAGTGATCATATACATGTGGGTCTATTTTTAGACTCACTCTTGACTTTTTGCCAATACCTCTCTGCCTTGATTACTATAGCTGCTAATGAAATCTTGAAATCAAGTAGTCTGAGTTCTCATTCTTTTTCAAAAATTTTTTAGTTTTACTTATAAATTTTAGAATTAGCTAGTCAATTTCTACAAAAAAAGTTTCTGATGAGATTTGAATGGAATAGCAAGGAATTTATAAATTAGATTGTGGGGAACTGACAGCTTAACAATCCAGTCAATAAGCATGGTATATTTCTCTGTTTATTTAAGGCTTTTTAAGATTTCTTTCATCAGTGACTTGTAGTTTCAGCATACAGATATGGAACATATTTTGTTAGATTTTTACCTAAGTATTTTATGATTTTTCATACAACATTACATGATATTTTACTTTTTAACTTTAATTTTACTCTGTTACTATATAGAAATACGATTCATTTTTTATTACTGCAAATGTCCTAAACTCACTAGAGTTGGTAATTTTTTTTAATGGTTCTTTGGAATTTCCTGTATAGACAAGCATGTCAGCTGCTAATAGAGATAGTTCTATTTCTACTTTTTCAATCTGTCTAATTTTAGTCTTTCTCTGTCTCTCTCTCTCTCTCTCTTTGCCTGCCTTCCTTCCTTCCTTCCTTCCTTCTCTTCCATTCACCTTAGGGTACTGGATAGCATCTCCCAGTACAATGGTGAATTAAAATGCTGAGAGAACACATCCTTGCTTTGATACTGATCTTAGGAAGAAAGGATCTTGTTTTTACACTAAACATAATGTAAGCTGCATATCTTTTTTTAAACTCTCTTTATGCAGTTAATGAAGTTTCCCCATTGCAAAAATTAAGAATGGATTTGAGGTTCTGTCAAATGCCTTTTGTGCATTTATAGAGATGATTATATGGTTTTTCTTCTTTAGTCTGTTGATTTACTTAATTATACTGATTATTTTCTAATGGTAACCAATCTTGCATTCCATAAGGTGTTATCCTTTCTCTTTGGTAAGATTCAATTTGCTAAATTCTTGTTGAGAATTTTTACCTCTATGTTCATAAGGAACATTGGTCTGTAGTTATCTTGTAGTATCTTTATCCAGTTTTGGTATCAAGGTAATGCTCTATGCTCTCCTCATAGAATGAGTCAGGAAGAATCCCCACCTCTTTAGTTTTCAGGAAGAGTTTATGTGAAACTGACATTATATCTTCCTTAAATATTTAGTAAAATTTATGAGCAAAGCCATCTTGGCTTAAAGTTTTATTTGTGAGAAAGCTTTTTAACTACAAATTTCATTCCTTTTACAGTCATAGGGTCATTCAAACCATCTATTACTTCTTGAATAAGCTTTATTAGTTTGTATGTTTTAAGGAATTTGTTCATTTCATCTAAATTATTGAATTTACTGGCATAAAGCTGTTCATAATATTCTCTTATATTCCTTTTAATTTCTGTAGGGTCCTAGTGACAGCCCCATTTTTATCTCTCCTATTTTAAATGGTGCCCTATTTTTAAATTATAGGTTCTGTATTTTCATTGCTATTATATAAAAATGAAATTGATTTTTGCATGTTGATCCTGTAACACACAAAGTTACTGAACTCACAATAATTCCAGGACGTTGTCTTTTTATTTATTTATTTTGTAGATTCCTTTATGTTGTCTACATAGATAATCATGTCACTCACAAGTAGGGATGATTTCATTTCTTCCTTTAGAATTGGTATGCCATTTATTTATTTATTTATTTATTTGTTTGTTTGTTTATTTATCTATTTATTGCCTTCTTTCACCATCTAAAATTTCCAGTACTATACTGAATAAAAGTAGTGAGAATCGACAGTCTTGCCTTGCTCCCAGTCTTAGGGAAAAAGAAGTTAGTCTTTCACTACAAAGTATGATGTTCCCTATAGGTTCTTTGTTAATAGTCTTTATCCAGTTCAGGTAGTTCCACTCCATCCTAATCTTGCTGAGAGAGAGTTTTATCAAAAAATAGATGCTGAATTTTGTCAAATACCTTTTCTGTATCAACTGATATGATCATATGATTTTTCTTTTTTGCCTTGTTGATATGGTAGATTATATTTACTTTAGAACATTGAACCAGCCTTTTGTACCTGGATTAAATCCCATTTGGTCACAGTATATAATTTCTTTTATATATTGTTGGATTTTATTTGCTAATGTTTTGTTGAGGTAAATTCACAAGAGATATTGTTTTGTAGTTTTCTATTTTAGAAATGTCTTTCTCTGGTTTTGGTAATAGAGTAATATTGACCTAATAAAATAAGTGTTCCCTACTCTTCTGTCTTCTGGAAGAAATTGTATTAAAATGTTGTTAATTCACCTTAAAATATTTAGGAGAAGTATCCCATGAAAGCACCTGGACCAGCCTTTTTCAGGAGGTTTTCAATTAAGAATTCATGTAATCATTATAGGACTCCTCAGATTATCTGTTTCATGTTAGCTGAGTTTAGATTTTCAAGGAATTGGTCCATTTCTCCTAAATATTCATATTTATATGAACATCAAGTTGTTCATAGTATTGTCTTATTATCTTTATAATCCTTTTCATGGTTGTAGGATCTTCAGGGTTATTCCTCCATTTCATTCCTGATATTAGTGAAACCTCTTGCTGGAGATTTATCAATTTTATTATTTGTTTTAAAATAGCTTGTGGTCTTATTAGCTTTTTCTATTGTTTTCCTATTTTCAATTTCATTCATTTCTGCTTTGATCTTTATTGTTTCCTTCCTCTGTTTGCTTTTAGTTTATTTTGCTCTTCTTTTCAGTTTCTTGAGGTAGGAACTTAGATTTATAACATGAGACTTACTTTTTTCTAACGTAAGCATTTAGTGATATAAATTTTCCTCCCACACTGTTTTAGCTACATCTCACATATTTTTATTTGCTGTATTTTCACATGAATATGTCATTCCATTCTACCATTTTTTTAATTTTCTTTGAGACTTTCTCTTTAATTTATGGGTTATTTAGAAGCATATTGTTTAATTTCCACATGTTTACAGATTTTCCTTCATTTATTGTCATTAATTTCTAGCTTGATTCCACTATGCTCAGATAATCATACTCTTTAATTCTTTAAAAAATTTTGATGCTCATTAAAAAGTCAGAAAATAACAGATGCCGGCAAGACTGTGGAAAAATAGCAATGCTTTTACACTGGTGATGGGAGTGTAAATTAGTTCAACCATTGTGGAAGACAGTGTGGCAATTCCTCAAGGATCTAGAATCAGAAACACCATTTGACCCAGCAATCCCATTACTGGGTGTATACCCAAAGGATTATAAATCATTCTACTAAAAAGACACGTGCACACATATGTTTATTGCAGCACTATTTACAATAGCAAAGACTTGGAACCAACTCAAATCCCCATCAATGATAGACTGGATAAAGAAAATGTGGCACATACACATCATGGAATACTATGCACCCATAAAAAAAGAGTGAGTTCATGTCCTTTGCAGGGACATGGATGAAGCTGGAAACCATGATTCTCAGCAAGCTAACACAGGAACAGAAAACCAAACACTGCATGTTCTCACTCATAAGTGGGAGTTGAGCAATGAGAACACATGGACACAGGGAGGGAATGTCACACACCAGGGGTTGTCAGGGGGTGGGAGGCAAGAGGAGGGAGAGCATTAGGACAAATACCTAATGCACACGGGGCTTAAAACCGAGATGACGGGTGGATAGGTGCAGCAAACCACTATGACACATGTATACCTATGTAACAAACCTGCACATTCTGCACATGTATCCTAGAACTTAAAGTAAAATTTAAAATAAAAAAAATAAAAATTTTTTTTGATACTTGTTTTTGGTCAGGATACGGTCTGTGAATGGTCATGAGCACTTAAAAATGTGTATTCAGCTACTGTTGGGTGAAGTATAATCTATGTGCCAATTAGATCTTATTGGTTGATTATGCTTTTCAAATCTTCTGTATCTTTGCTGATCTTCTTCTAGTACTTCTGTTAGTTGATCAGAAGGTTGCATTGAAGTCCCCAACCATAATTGTGAGTTTGTCTATTTCTCGTTTCAGCTCTGTCAGTTTTTTGCTTCATGTACTTTAGTCTCTGTTGTTGTTTGTATACACATTAAGAATTGTTATGTCTTTCTGGTAGATTGACCCTTTCATCTTTATGTAATATCCCTCTGTGTCTTTAGGTATTTTCTTTCTTCTGAAATCTATATTATTGGATACTAATGTAGCCATTTCTGTCTTTTTTAAAATTAATGTTCTCATAGTATACCTTTTTCCCTCTTTTTACTTTCACCCTATCTGTGTAATTGAATGTGAAGTAAGTGTCTCATAAAGAGCACACAGTAGGGCCATGGTTTTTTATCCATTCTGCCAATCTGTGTCTTTTCATTGTAATTATTCCAGACGGCATGGTCTGCTGCAGCTCTCCGCAGTAGAATGTTGAATGTCCCCCAACCCCCAAAAAAGGCCGCTGTGGAGCTTTCAGGAAATGCCAAGTCTACCTTGTGCTGATTAGTGCCATTTATAACCCAGCTCAGAAATGCAACTCAACACTCCCCATCTGCTCTGGATTTGGAACTGCAAGTTTGAAATGTCACGGTATCCACCTCTTTGCCCAGCCCCCTCTCCAATCCCTGTATATTGGCCTCGCTTGGGATTTTCTCTAGCACCACCATCTGGGATTTACTTTTTTCTCTTTATTTTCCCAAGGAATAGAACCTGGGATGTATCAACTCAGTTTCTTCCTGAAACTCAGTTTATACAACCAGGCTGCCTGCTGTTGAATCCTTGAGTGCTGGCTCACACAAGATACTGATGCAGAGCCAGTACTATGAAGAGGCCTCTGGAGACTTACAAGGGCACTAAGGAAAAGGGGGACTCGTTGTTTAATTTACACATTCCCTTTATGACCCCTTTTAAATGCCCCTGATCCATAATGGCTTCCCTGCTCACACCACTCTGGGACCATCTCTCCCTTCTCTCAAGTCTGGCAATATTCATTTCCACGACTTGCTTGAGTATTTTTAAAAATTAAGAATGATTCATTAAAAGCCCTCTGGGTTATTGGTACTCTGTTAGAAGTTCTGATTGTGGACGGATTACAAGAAGGAAAGAGCCCATTGGCAGTATCCTTGAATTTCTTGCAGTTTCAGACACCTAACGGCACTCAGATTATTCAACAGCAACAACGAGCCATGCGGAGGTAGGTAGAACAGGAAGATTTCACACTCTTCTTTCACTATCGCCACTGCTCTCATAACAGAATCATACCAAGTGATGTGCTGAAAAGCAGCCAGCATCAGTGTCCTTTGGAGGATTCTATCCAGGTGTCTTTTACCCCAGCCCACCTTCCAGGGCAGGGGCAGTGCTTCAAGTCCTCCCAGCCTGCATGTGGGGCCTAAAGTGGAGACCAGAGGGAAGTCCAGAGGGCAGACACCAGCGTCAACAAAGCAGCCACAGAGACTGTTTCCTTTTTTTTTTTCTTTTTTTCTTTTTTTTTTCTTTTTTTCTTTTTTTTTTCTTTTGAGACACAGTTTCACTCTGTCGCTCAGGCTGGAGAGCAGTGGCTTGATCTCAGCTCACCGCAACCTCTGCTTCCCGGGTTCAAGCGATTCTCCAGCCTCAGCCTCCTGAGTAGCTGGGACTACAGGGGTGCGCCACCACGTCTGGCTAATTTTTGTATTTTTAATAGAGATGGGGTTTCACCATGCTGGTCAGGCTGGTCTTGAACTCCCGACCTCAGGTGATCGCTCACCTCGGCCTCCCAAAGTGCTGGGATTACAGGCAAGAGCCACCGCCACAGGGTTCATTTTCTTTTTGTCACTGGTTGTCTGCCTTGGAGCTCATCCACTCAGCCCCCAGAGGATCCACCCCCAAAGGGCAGAAACGCAAAAATAAACAAACAAACCAAAAATCCAATAACAACTGAATGGAATGATCACATCAAGATGTCCCCCAAGTAACAAGTAAACAGAGCCCCCACCTTCACAAGTGAGACCCCCAGAGAGCCTGCTAGGACAGGAAAAGGAAAGCCTCTGCCCCACTGCTTCCACCTAGACCAGCCCCATGTGTGAAATGAGCACCCAGGTGTGAGTGCTTCTAGACACAAATACAAAATCAGTCTTGTTTGGATGGGGAGAGAGGAACACTGAATTTAATTAAATCTCTGTATTAAGTATGCAGTAAAATGTGCTGCTTTATCAAATTAAGTCATCCGCCAGAAAAAAGGCCATGTTGACAATGTTTTATAGATTCAACTACCATTTAACTATTCATTCATTTAATGTGTTTATTTAAAAAAAAAAAAATCTGCCAGACATTTGGCTCATGCCTGTGGCCTTAGCTACTTATGACGTCGAGATGAGAGGATCTCTTGAGCCTAACAGTTCAAGGCGCAGTGAGCCATGATTGTACCCCTACGCTCCAGCCTAGGTGTCAGAGTGACATTTCATCTCTGAAAAAAAAAAAACTTTTTTTCCTACCTTGGCACAAGGCCAGTGCTACAAGCAGCAGTCACACAGTCCCATGCCTGACATGTGCCCTATGCACGCCGACCCCACCCACTTAGGCAGGCTGCAGGCCCTGTGCTAATTGAAGAAGCAGGTGGAGAGCTGGTAACATCAAGCACAGGGACAGATTTCATTGTGACATCACCAACAGACAGCACCCCGCTGAGGTGGTACCCACAGCCGATAGCCATCCAGCTGTACATTACTCACAACAGGTAACCCACCCACCCACCAAACCAGGCCCTACCCTTAAGGAGGGTTGGCCCAGGAGGCACAAACACAAGCCTTTTGTGTCTCCATTTTGGAGTCTGAAAGCCTTCTTGAAGAGAATTCTCCCGATCAGTCTCTCCCTCAAAGAAATGTAATGTCACATATATATTCACAAACAAAACGGCATTTTAAAAACTCTTTTCAAATCTTACATTTCAGTTTTAACAAACAGTACTGGAGCAATTGGATGTCCACAGGCAAAAAAAAAAAAAAATGAAACGACATATACCTCACATTTTTGACAAAATTAATTCATAATAAGTTATAGATTTAAATGTAAAATATAAAGCTATAATGCTTTTAGAAGAATATGTAGGAGAAAATCTCGGAGGCCCAAGGGTGGTGAATAGACATGACACCAAAAACATAGTCCATCCAAGAAAAGAATCAAGAAGTTGGATTTCAACAACAACATTAAAGATGTTCGGTTTGAGAAAGCCCAGGTGAAAGGATGGAAGACGCGATGACAGACTGGGATACCTAATTCCAAACCACAAATCTGACAAAGGCTTGAATATAGACTATAAGAGCTCTCAAAGCTCAGCAGTTAAAACAAAAACAGCAATCCAGTTAGAACGTGGACAAGAGACATGAACAGATATTTAAGAGAGGAGAATGCAGATGGCAAATAAGCCCCTGAAAAGATGTTAAACATCATTCGTTAACCATCTGGGAAATGCAGATTAAGGCCATGATGAAATATCATTGCATACTTATTAGAACAACTACAAGAAAATAGTGATGGACCTAATACTGGTGATGATGCAAAGAAATTGAATTTCTCATCCGTTGCTGGGATGCTCATATAATGGTATAGCCACCCCCAAAAACAGTGTGGCAGCTTCTTAAAAACCGCAACAGGCCAGTCACGGTAGCTCATGCCTATAGTCCTAGCAGTTTGAAGCCAGGAGTTCAAGACCAGCCTGGTCAACAGAGCAAGACCCCATCTCTACAAATAATTAAAAAAAAAAATAGCTGGGCGTGGTGGCACACACCTGTAGTCCCAGCTACTTGGGAGGCTGAGGCAGGAGGATTGAGTGAGCCATGGAGGTCAAGGCAGCTGTGAACTATGATCATGCTACTGCATTCCAGCCTGGGTGACAGAACCAAGACCCTGTCTCAAAAAAGAGAAAAAATAATAATAATACATACACTTACCATGCATACCCTTACCCTGCTTGCCGTGAAACCAACAATTACGTTCCTGGGCACTGATCTCAGGGAAATAAAAATTAATCACACAAAAACCTGTAGATGAATGTTCATAGCAGCTTTATTTGTAATAGCTAAAAACTGGAAGCAACCTCAAGGGGTAAATGGAAACAACTGTGCCACCGTGCTACATTGTACCATAGAATATTCCTCAGCAGGGAAGAGAAATGAACTACCTATGCGCAGCTTTGATGAGTCGGCTGGGCATTATGCTGAGTGAAAAAATGCCAGTCTCAAAACATTCCATCTGTAAGACATTCTCAAAATGACTAAGTTATAGAGATAAAGAACAGATTAGTGGTGTCCAGTGTTAGGAGGGGAGGGCTAGGGAGGGGTGGGCAGACAACAAAGGGACTGCAGGAGGGGGTGTTTGTGGTAGAGGAACATCTCTGCTACTTAAATTGTGGCAGTCACTGCAGAAATTCCCACAGGTGACCAAATGGCACAGAGCTATGCACACACGCTGCACCAACATCAGCACCCCAGTTTCGGTATCAGACTGTAGTTTTACAGGATGTAAGCTTTGAGCGAGACTGGGTAGAGAGCGAACAGACATCTTTTTTTTTTTTTTTTTTTTTTTTTTTTGAGACAGAGTCTCTCTGTCGCCCAGGCTGGAGTCCAATGGTGCCACCTCGGCTCACTGCAACCTCTGCTTCCCAGGTTCCAGCGATTCTCCTGCCTCAGCCTCCAGGGTAGCTGGGACTACAGGCGTGTGCCACCAAGCCCAGCTAATTTTCGTATTTTTAGTAGAGACCGTGTTTCACCACGTTGGTCAGGCTGGTCTCCAACTCCTGACCTCATGATCTGCCCTCCTCGGCCTCCCAAAGTGCTGGGATTACAGGCTTGAGCCACCATGCCTGGCTGCAAACAGACATCTTTATAATGCTTTTGAAACTTCGCATTATAATTTTCTAAAATAAGAAGTGTAAAAGAAAAGTCATATTCCATGTACTTCACTGAAATGGAATGTTATCTGTCCTAAAAATGATTACAAATGATTGGACTAGGCTTCTGTTCGTGTTTTATAAGTTGTGTTGGAATTAGAGCGGTTAGGTCCTCTTCCCACCAGCAAAGTCCTACAGCTCCTGAGTGCTGCAATTTACAGCCTGCTGGAGTCGGTGTCTGGGAGGGTGGTCTCTAGCTACACGCCAGGGCCAAGCTTGCTAAAAGAGTCCTTGAGCTCTTAGCTCTTGGAAAGCAGGAGTAATGTGAGGATGGGCTCCTTGATCTTGTATAGCAGGCTCAGGAATGAGAAGAGGCTTCTGAGAACATGATATAGCAAGAACACAAAATAGCAGGAACCCGTGTTCTGTTTTTTGCATGTTTATGCTAGGTTATATCTGACACCCCAGAGTTAGAGGAGATAAAAAAGCTGGAAGGGAACAGGAATTGATTGGATGCCCGGGGGACGGCTTACCGTACATGTGCGCAATCCTTCAGCAACCCCACTAGGTAGAGCCATCCCTGCCAGTTTGCACACGCGGACCTGGCGCTCAGGCACACGGACAACACACTAGGCTGTTTCCTGGCAAGGTGCAGGCCTGCTCTGCCTCTACCTATGTGCACTTTTCCACAACATGCAACGTGACAGCACCATGGGTCAGACTTGCAGAGCGAGGCACCCTTTTGCAGTCTGGATCATAGTGCCAGGTTCTGACGTGCGGTGCTCACCTGAAGCCTGTTGCTGTTTCAGCAGTGACTGCTTGCCATTTTCCAACACGTGCTTCCAATGGGAAGGGCCTAGACAGACACATCCACTTCACTTTTGTCACGAGTCCTGGTTCCCAGGCACCTCTGGGATGCCTTTTTCATGTTTCTATCCCAATCCCAGCATGGGAATATTTCAACAGAGCTTGCTGGGAAACCCTGACCTGTAATTATGGAAACCAAGAATGGACATGTTTCTATTAATATTGGCCCCAGATAAACCACCTACTCTTTTAGGTCAACATTATTTGGCAAGGGAGGAGGTGGGCTGGATGCAGCATCTGCAGCCTTCCCACACAACACCCCAAGCTTCTCTGCATGGCGGAATTCCTGCTTTCGGAGGGCTCCAGCTCCAGAGGGCTCCAGCTCCGGAGGGCTCCAGCTCCAGAGGGCTGGAGAAGTTCCTTTAAGTCTCTTGCCCTCATTCCTGCATCCATTGAAATTTACATCCAGCTTCATTCTTCCTCAACATCAAAGGGCCTCAGATGGTCTGGCTCTGCTTCCAAACAGAGTGCAGGAAAGTGTTTACTGAAGAAGAAAAGTGAATCAGGAAACAGCTGTGCGAAGGGCCAGGGCTGTGTTCCCCGGGGTTCACACATGGCCATCTGTGTCTCTTATTATGGCTAATCTCTCTAGTTCTCAGAGAAGCGGCCCATTAACCCAGACAGCTGGGAAATGATGGAAACCATCTTTTTTTTCCAAACGTTCTTATTATGCAGTGTTTATGTTTCAGGATCTGAGGGACTTTCGAACGTTGACCTTTCTCGAGCTGTCCGAGCCCAGAGGAGTGGTGGCTGGGAACTTGCTGTGAGCCCCCATCTTTCTACCTGGACCCCAAAAAGAATAGGCGCCACACAGAGCCAGCTTAATCCAGGGTTAGGTGTGCTGACCAGGGGGCTGCCTTCCTGAGGGCTGGATCCAGTTTTCTTGCAGCAAATTTTTCTTCTGCAGAAAGTGGCAGATCTAGGTCCTCTAAATATGGTTAATTCAAAGGATGGTTCTGGAGATGGATGGTGGTGATGGTTATGCAACAGTGTGAATGTACTTTTTTCCCCCATGGGTATCATTTATTATAATGTTATTTATTATAATATATATTATATAATACATAATATTATATTATTATTTATTATTAACCTTATAAATTTCACACAAATGACCATATTTTAAGTGATAGTATAGTCTGTAGGCTATTATTTTAAATAAAACTGTACCTCTTTTCAGTTTTATTGAAGGTGAATGTGCTTAGTACCACTGAAGTGTACATTTTTAAATGGTTAAGATGGTCAATGTTGTTATGTGAACTGTGACACAATTTTTTTAAAGGAGTAGGGAGAGTTTATTTTCCTTTTCTTGGATGTTGGTGACTGCCTGGGGTGGGGTAGGGGTGTAATGCAGTGGAAGTGATGCTGTGTGGCCTCCAAAGAGAGGTCACAATGGGCAAAACTCAAGTCCACCTGGTCCTCTCTCTCTCTCTCTCTTTCTCTCCTCTCTCTCCTACTTTGTCCCTCCCTTTCTCTCTGTCTCTCTCTCTCTCCTTCTCTCCTTCTCTCTCCTTTTCTCTCCATCTCTCTCTCTCTCTTTCTCTGTCTCTCCCTTTCTCTCTGCCTCTGTTTCTCTCTCCCTCTCCCCACTCCAGCTCTAAAGGGATGGCTCCTCTATGAATGGTTCCTGCCCCTCTTGTCCCCTGGGCCAGGCTCCTTCCATGTGTTAGGCAGGCATTCTAGAGCTGCAACTTCAATGTGAACAAATAAACATTCATTTTAAATTGAGATGTGTATGAGTTACAAGGTGCTATGCATGCGTATCCCTGGGGGTCCAGGAGAGCCCCCTCAAGCAGTGATCTTTGATGTCATGCCTGAGCAGGAGCTGCAAATGGGTGTCAAGTGGAAGGAAGAGGTCAGGGATGGTGCAGTCCAGACCCCAAAACTTTCAGGAAGGGATGAAGGAATGCACTTGGGGACTTGAGGGGTCTACCCACCCCCATGGTAGTGGGCCCTCTTGGGGCCAAGGCCTGCACTAATAAGTCCTCACCCCACCTCATCCCAGCCTCCTCACCCACTGGTCTCAGGGGTTGCAGCACAGAGTGGAGGCTGTGGCTGTGCAGGTGGAAGTGGAGGCTCGAGGGGCCAGTCCTCGGCCTGTGAGGTGGGGATTCCAGGCTCAGGTCCAGAAGCCTTTGAGAGTTCCACTAAGGAGTCTAAGTGTCTGTAAATAAATAAACACTGCAGAGTTGGGGCCTTCTTTTTGCTGTCTTTCAACCTCTCTTCTCTTGAGAAGGTTCTGGGACAGGAGTGGGAGTTCCAGCAGGAGGAGGTGGGGACACGCCCCCAGCCTCAGCGAGCCCTTCTTCCCTGCTGGTGAGCCGTTTTGGGCTCCCCGCAGGAGCCTCTGGGCCCTCCCTCCCAGTGTGGTGGTCATGGGGATGCTCCTGCCATGCAGATGCCCTGGCTATGTCAAGTGACCCACCACCTAGGGAGCAGCGTACTGTCTCCAGCCCTGTGCCCGTGCCCACCCTGGGCCCAGCCAGACCTGGGCCTCCCGGCCTTCTACCTGGCTCACCCAACCCATCCCCAGGAAGGAGCACAGAGGATGCATGTTCCAGAAAGCTGACCTCGCTGCTCCTTTGTTCCCCCTAATTGCACTAAAATTAGGCAGTTTTATGACTCACCATGTGTCTATGCTGTTTGAGCCTTCAAAGGCCTTCATCATCATCACACAGGCAGCACCTAATACAGATGCTGCATCACCTGCAGCACAAAACATTTCACATTTGCTCACTGGAGTTACTGGAGAAAGGGAGTTTCTAATGAATGACCCAAGCATGGGAATGTGTCCTTCAGCTGTCTGAAAGTTCAGCCTGGGAGCATGTTTCTGAGTGTTGGGGTGCAGGACTTCTCTCTTCTGAATTCTGAAATTCTTATGCCCTAATTTAACCTCAGACTGAATTCTTCTGGTGCAACCACTTTAGAAAGCAGAATACAGTTGGCACCAACAACCTTTTACACAGAGGGCTTTGGTGAGTGGGCAAGCACTCTGGAGAGACCCATCCTGAGTGGACAGGTGGGCCCGAGCCTTCAGGGGCAGCGAGGGCACCTCAAGGTCCCTGGAGACATCTGTTCTGCCCATAGCAGTTGTGGGAGGTTTTTAAAAGTGATACAAAGAGAATATTTTTAATTTCCCTGCTATTTACAGGGAATGTTTCACTTCTATAGGACAGAAAATACACTGCCAGATGAAGTGTTCTTGCCAAGAGAAGACCAGCTGCAAATAATTTGGCCTGGAAAAAAATATATTTTTTAGAAAACATTCTCCCAGCAAAAAATGGCCCTGTGCTCCCCTGTTCTCTGTTCTTCGTGTTTCTCACCCAGCATATGTTCAGGTTGTCATGGTAACCCTGCAGTATCTTTCAGAGGAGTGAGCAGAAGTTGAGTTCAACATGGAGGATTGGTCCATTTGAGTGCAACCTACTGAAATCAATGTGACCTTGGCCTTTTTCATCAACTTAGGCAAGACACATTTCGTTTTTAAATTTTCAAATAAAATCAGGGGTACCTTGGTGGAAGAATAATAGCTGAGAATGCTCTGGATAGGGATAGTGAATGTTTGCTGCCACATTTCCATCCTGGGATTGCTCTGGTTATCTTCTGCTGCATAACAAGCCACCCCAAAAACTCATAGTTTATGATAATGGCAATATTTTTTTCACCACAAATTTGTAACATTGACCGGGACTTGGCAGGAGCAATTTCCCACTGCTTCACACACTTCTGTCTGGGGAAGCTTGATGACTGCTGATGGGATCACCAGTAGGCTAGCTCAGGTGCCTGGTGGGGGACGCTGACTGTCTGCTGGGACCTCAGCTGGGCTCTTGTTCTGGGCACCCATGTGTTGCCGACTACCTCGTATGCTGTGCGCTTCTTCACACAGTGGTGGCTGGGTTCCAAGTGTGAGTGCTCAAAAGTCACATTCTGTCTGTCAGAAGCAAGCCAAACCATATCTAAAAGTTAGATTTCCCCCTTTCAATGAAAGTAGTGCAAAAGGATTTGTGAACGTGCTTCAAAATGACCATGATGCCCATGTCAGATATTGCTAATTAATGATTGAGCCTGGACTCCACTTCAGAATCCTTCCCAACAGTGTTCCCAGTCATCCACTGGCCATTGCTGGAGCTGGCCCTGAAGTTAACGCCCATCTAACACCCTTGTTCTAGGCTAATGGCCCAAGACAGCACAGGACCAGTGCTCTCAGAAACCAAGTTCCTACAAGTCCATAATAAAACCAGATAAATATAAACAGTGTAATAAATTTTTCATAAAGACAACTTTATCCTATTTAAAGATTGTCCATTGTTCTGAGATTATGTACTTCTTACACTTTTGGAGTGTTCAGCTGCCGTTTCTCTTATGAATTGAGGAGATGATAAGGAGCAGTTGTGTTGTTTGAATCTCCTTTTAAAATATTGGTGATCCATGCAATCCAAAAGTCACAATCCCCTGCCCTGGGCCATTTGTTGGTGGTTGAAACTTCACTGTCATAAGCAGTGGAGTGCCACATGGTGCAGACACAAAACTTTGCACATCTCCTCCATGAGTTCACCTCTGAAGGCCCACATGCCACTCTAGAATCACTGCATCTTTTCCCTGCTTGAGTCTCTGGATTGAGCTCGAGTTTTGCTTTTTTTCTCTCTCTCTTTTCTACTTTCTGCCTGGCCATTCTGTAAGCTGCACACTCTTGCTAAGCAATGTGTGTGTGCTCCTGGTGTCATCAGAAGCCCAGTCCTGTGGCAAACACTATCCAGAACTCAGAGCTACACATACCCCTGGGAAATTCCCATGGGCTTGTCAACTCAACAGTGGGGAAACAGGGCCTCGGGACAACCAAGAATCCTGGCCTTTGAGTCAGAGTTGGTCAACATGACTTGGGGAAGATATTAAATGTGGGAACCAAACCAAAATGACATAAGTGGTCTAGCAGTATCTAGATACAAACAACACTGTCTGGGTTTGAAGGAGCCCCTGTGCCCATTGTCTCCTCCCTTGTTAATCAGAGAAATAATTGCCCACTTTACTCCCAGAGATGGGGTCCAAGTTAATGAGGAACTGTAGCAGCTACTTTTAATGCAAATTCTTGGAAACATTAGTAAAGTTGGAAAATATATGGGTCTTCCAGATTATGGAACATAGAAATAGGAAAAGGGAAAAAGGCAAAAGAAAGGAAGAGGAAGAAGGGAAATGAGAAGGTAGAAGACAGACATCCGTGGGGTTACAAGGTACCTTTTACCTAGGGCTGCAGTTTCACTTTAGGAGAAAACAAAAACTGGGCTTTCCTTTGAATGATGTTAAGGAAGTTACCAGCATGGTCCCTCTGTCTCCTCCAGGGAGCAGGGCCTGGCCGAGTCTCATTATACTGCAGATCACTGGTCTTGAGCCCAAGGCTTTACAAGAGAAGCACAAACCCCAACAATTACAAGGGACATTGCTTTCCCATCCTGGTCCCTCCCTACACAACAAGAAGAAAAACAAAACAAGCCCAGATCCTGTAAGCAGGACCCAAAGAAAACATTGTGATGATGGGCTTTCTTCAAGTAAGTGAGCTGACACAAAAGGAAAGGCAGAAAGCTCTTTCCGGCTCTCAGATTTCAAACCACCAGGGAATGTGTGCTGTTCCAGGGCCTCTGAGAAGCCAAAGGCTGGGTTGCACAATCAGCCCTGCTGCCCCAGGCCAAGCATGCTGGACACTGGTCAGTCAGGTGCCTCTCACCTGGACGGTCCAGCCTCCCTCTTTGCCTTCAGCTTCCTCTGGCCACAGGAAGGGCTCAGTGTCAAGGGCAACTTCTTCCTGCTTCGATTCTCAGGAACAGCCATCTGGTATTTGTCCTTCTTGTCTGGCGTCTTTCACTTAGCACACTGTCCTCTGAATTCACCCCTGTTGTCACAAACGGCAGGATGTCCTTCTTTTTTAAGGCTGAATACTACTCCATAGTACAGACATATGCACCAGACTCTAATGAAGTTGACCTCTTAGAAGCAGAAAGTAGAAGGGCAGTTACCAGGGGCTGGGGAGTAGGAAAAAACTGTGTGGATTTTGGTCAAAGGGTACAAATTTCCAGTGATAAGATACTTAAGTTCTGAGGATCCATGAACTGCATGGTAACTATAGTTAATAATACTGTACTGTATGTTGAAAATGTGCTAAGAGAGTAGAACTGAAGTGTCCTCACACACACAAAAATAATGGTAACCATGTGAGGCAGTGGAAGTGCTGATTAGCTTCATCTTGGCCGTCACTTCATGATATGCACATGCATCAAATCATCACATTGTACAATTAACTGTATACAAGCTTTATTTGTCAATTACATCTCAATAAAGCCAGGGGGTGGAGTCGGGAGGGAGGAACTTCTGTCTTGCTCTAGGTTTATGCAGTATCTTGTAAAGACAGCATGAGTCATCATCACTATCTGGCCCAGCCAAGTACTCTGGGGCCCTTTGTGCTGCAAATCGGTTCACACACACCAACCAGTGTCTTCTCATGATGCACAGCTGGAAGTAATTTCTTTTTAAGCTTTAAAAAAATTCAAGACACAGCTTATCCTTGGTGTCCACCCGCAGGTAGTCAGGCCCTGAGAACATGTCACCTGTGGGCAAACGCTAACTTTCCCAAGACCAGGATTAAGTGTTGAGTGGGAGGTGAGGCCTTTGTCCTGCCCCTCTCTCCCTGTGTGGACCGACTGACCAACCCGCCAAAACACTTTGAGAGCCACTAGACATAGTAGCTTACTTCTTCTCATGCAGATATTCCTTGGAGGAGCCTGGTGTATTTATTTTAAGAGTTGCTTTCAGAAACAGAGGACCTCTCTTCTGTTTCACAAAATACATGTCACAGAGAAGAACAAACCCACCCATGGCCAGCCTCTGGCTGTGTAATTGCTACTCTGCACAATAGGAAATGAGTGGCCACGGCACAGGTAGCCCATTTGGGAGTCGCCTAGAGCCCTGTCCCTACAAAGAAATTATAACGTAGCAAAAAACCAGAGGCTCCCTTCCTTGAATATCCAGGCTTAGGCCTAGAGCACGGAAACAAGACCAGTGTAATTACCTCGCATGCATAATCACTGCTGAGACCTGAGAACAGAGGCCGGGCCCTGCCTGGCCTTCGGCTGTCTGGCCACAAGCAAGCAGCCACTGAAACCAGGCAGCTGGGGTGCAGGGTGTTTGTGTGTGTGAAATGGCTCTGCTGCCCCGAAGCAAGGAGCAGGGAGATGGCTTTTCCCTGTGTGGCTTACCTGGGTCAGAATCAACAAGCAGGAGCATAAAACAGAGATCAGACCCCAGGAGGAAATGACAGCCAGGCCCACTTTGTGTGCACGAGTGAGGGTAGGCATGGGGAAGATTCCTGTTTGCTTGTCCCTTTTAAAAAAGCAAAACCGGCACAAGACTGTGGTCAGGAGCTCAGTATACAGGAAGGGGCCGAAGTCTGACAGCCTTCCTCAGAGCCCCGGGTGGCCTGGGGAGGAAGGCATGCTGCCCTGAGACTGCTGTGCAGGGATCCCTGGAATTCTCCTCCAGCATTAGCTGTGGTAGAAGGGACTTTTCTATTTTGTGATTCAATCTTTTAGTTAGATTGCTTGGGGGACTTGATACTAGGAAAATTTTAATGGTTTTACCTAAACAAGGGATAACCTTGTTTTGGAAGCTTATGATATGGAGGAAAGAGTTAACTGTAAAATCGGCAGGCCTGGGGAAAACAAAACCAACCAAGCAGTAGCCAGGGTGGGTGCAGGGCTGTAGCCAGAGCTCCGGGCTGCCCCACGGCACTCCCACTGCGTCAGGGAAGCCTTTTCTGGCCTCCTAGTTAGGAGGCATCTCCTATTACACACTCTTGGAGCATTTTGTAATTCTTCTGAGAGTTTATTACCCTAGCCAATGAATAATTGTGGAATTACTCAATGTTGTCTCCCCCTCTGGAACATGATACAAATGTCAGCTCCATGCCTGACTTGTTTGTTGCGGGATTCCCTGTGCCTAGACTAGTGCTTTGCACATGCAAGGAGCTCATATTCATTGAATAACTGGATGGGAGGGTGGATGGGTGGGTGCATGGATAAGAATGAATGGTTGGATAGGTGGATGGACAGATTGAACAGACAGGCAGGTGGATGGATAGATGGATAGAAAGATGGATGAATATAGATGGAGATAGATGTGTAGATGGATGAATGGGCATGTGGGTAAATGATTGCAGAAATGCATAAATGAATGAGTAGATAGATGAATGGGTGGGTGAAGTGGATGGGTAGATGAATGGATGAGTGGATGGGTGGATGGGTGGATGGATGGATGGATGGAGCCCACAAGGTCATTAAAGCATTTTGTTCTCTAACTTCTGAACTGAACTCCACTGGTTGTCTATAATAAGAGCTTTTACAGAGGGAGGTTGAACACCCAAGCATGTTGGACATGAGTGACAGCAGCTAGCATGGTATCTCTGCCCTAGATGCACTGATGGCAGCAGAGAGCTCTGTCCCTTGGGAGGGCATTGTGCAGGGCTATCAGGCAGTTTCCTGGGCCCTGTCTGCAGAGCCTAAACAGATCACATCTGGCCAGTCTCAACAGGGCCTCCTTACCCTATAAACCATGCATGTATTTATGTAACACTTCAGGCCTGATGGAGACCAGATGTGACCAAATGGTGCTTTATGCGGCCCAGGAATGCTGAAATACCAACATAGACGTCTTTTATGGCTGCTCTTGCTCAGCAATCTCTCTTTAAATCTTAGGTTTGAGCCCTGATATACAACCATTAACTTCATTCTTCTGTGAAACAGAAACATCTGGCAACATCTATTTGATTTGTTATCCTTATAAGAGAAATACAACTATGTACAACTTCTATTCTCAGTTAGTGTAGTACAGTAAAAAGAATGTTGATGGGGAGGCAAGAAACCCAGACCCAGCTCCGCCCTGTACCTCCCTTACTGGCTGGCCTTGGGCCAGTTGGTTCTCACCAGGACTCAGTTTTCCATTGGTAATTTCAAGAGCTATCATTTATTAAACACTTCCTGAGTTCTAGGCACCCTACCTTGTGCTCAGTAAAAGCTACAGATCATTGCCACAACTACACCCCTATTCAAATGTACAAATGGATACATAGGCGTGACTTTCCAATACCCATCATCCTTAGGAGGCAGATCCCAGTCTCAGTCTTCTGACTCCAAAACCACCTCTTCCCATTAAACCAAATGGCGGCTTTCACCTGCAAAATAAGGAAGTGCAGCTGAATTGCTATTTTCTGAATTTGTGTTCCTTGGACACTTCTGTTGGGAGCGACTAATAAGTCTTTTGACCCCTCTCCAAAGAATGTGTGTTTAGGGACACTGAGGAAGTGTCCCTGAACACACATTTGGGATTTTGGATGCCCACAGAACATTACAGATGCTACAAGAATTTAAGCCTGTTTACTGTGGGGTTTCCTCATTGGGCCGCTAGAATGCCTTTGTCCCCTGAAACTCCTATTAATATCTTGAGGATCACTGATGCACATTCATACAAAAATGTTGATTGAATAGGTTTCATGCTCCTGGCAGGACAGGCTGTGTCTCTGCACTCAGGGAGCAGCCACCTTACTGACCCAGGTGCAGCTCAGCCCTGATTGCCCCTTCTATACTTTCCTGTTTATACAGAGCTCCTCCCTTCTCCCTCCATGGATGTATTTACAATGTAGAGATGCTGTTAATACTGTCGGCTGCTGCTACTTGAGAAAGCTCACCACACACTTTCCATGGGGATTGGGAATGGAGTTGAGCAGCCCCATTTAGTTTCACCAAGAGTAGTGGGACCTTGTGTACTTGTTTTAAAGTCTCACTCCCTGAAAGGGCCAGAACTGGATTCTGAGTGACATCTACCCAGTGCAATTTCTCCATTGAATAGAAAGAAATGTGCAAAACATTCTAATTATGCTTTTACAACAAGCTTTTTAAGAAAAATTACATTGCAAAGACCCAATCAGTGCAAAACTTGCCCTGAAGTTCCTTACAGTTTAAAATCACCATATCCCCTCTGCCCCTTCAGCTTCCTTCTGCAATTTAGGGTGCTCGTGACGCAGAAGGGTTAGGGGCTGCAGGAGGTCCACGTGCTTTGGCTCTGATCACAGACTGCAGCTGTAGCTTCATCTCTGTCTCTGCTCTACTTAAGGACAGCTGCCCTCAGAATGCCAGGCTGGAACATCTAAATTCTACTAAAATGATCACTCACTCAGAATCAACAGCTAGGAAGAGGCCACAGAGCAGAGCCCTTGTTAATTTGGAACATGCCAAACTGCAAAGATGGTCCATAATGCCCCAGCAGAGCGTGTGAGAGCCCAGCATCGGATTTGATGCCACCTGCCCAAGGCCCAGGCCAGTGCAGCAGCGCTTCCTCAGATGGGTGTGGGCTTCGGAGCCCTGAAACGCTTCCCAGCCCAGAAGCAATAAAGCCCCAGTATGTCCTTTTCTGCAGGCCAGCACCCTGTCCACAATCCCGAGGGATGAGGGATGGCCGCGTCATCTCCCACTAACAGCGAAGCCCAGGGTGTGCAGTTCCACCCCCTTCCTAAGATAGATGTGAATTTAGAAAACCAAGAAGAGAGCCTCTTGCCTCCATGCAGCACTTCTGAAAACAAGCAAAGCATTTCAGGGGAGGAGCAGCAGGCGGCTCTGGAGCTTTGCACAAACCAGCCGGGAAGGCTTTGACTGGAAGGCAAGCAGGGCTACCTTTTGCCATGATGATCTTTAGAGGCCCACGTTTCTTCTTATCCTTTCTTTAAAAACAAAAACAATACTATTATTTCTTAATTGTCTGAACTCAAACAAATTAGAGTCCAGGGCCAGGTGCAGTGGCTCATGCTTATAATCCCAGCACTCTGGGAGGCCGAGGAGGGCAGATCACAAGGTCAGGAGATCGAGACTATCCTGGCTAACATGGTGAAACCCTGTCTCTACTAAAAATATAAAAAATTAGCCAGTTGTGGTGGCGGGTGCCCGTAGTCCCAGCTATTTGGGAGGCTGAGGCAGGAGAATGGTGTGAACCCGGGAGGCGGAGCTTGCAGTGAGCCAAGATCACGCCACTGCACTCCAGCCTGGGCAACAGAGCGAGACTCCGTCTCAAAAAAATAAAAATAAAAATAAAAAATAAGAGGCCAGTTTGCCCAGATAGGATTTTATAAAATGTTTCCTAGCAGTTAAAGAAGTCTATTTGTCTTTAATTTTGTTACTTTCCTCTCGTGACTTCCTGGGGAAAATGTGCAGAAGCAGAAGTGTGCTGCTTGACGGAATTAAACATAAAATTCCAACTCCATCAGATGGGCTTTGGAATCAACCAAGGATGACTTACGGGAGTCTCAAGTTTATCCAAATCCAGTGTGGTTTTTTGTTTGTTTGAGCTTAATTTTTCTCTTATTATAAAAGTTAACCAGGTTATAAAATAAAACCTGGAGAATATGAAAGGTATCAAATACAAGAATAGAAATCACTTGTGATAACCCCATCGTATCTATTTTTTTCTAAAAGAAATCTTGACTGCTTGAAAGAAAACTCAGAATCTCTGTGAAACGCCCAGTCCGAGTCATCTGCAGCATCCAGAGGGTGGGGCTTTAAGTGTTTTTTGGCATTGAAACTGTGTTTCTGGTCATGAAAGAGGAGAGCTGAACAGCATTTTATATGAATTTGATTCCATGCCCAAATTGCTACACTCACCCTCTGTGTCTCCGGAAAACTGCCAGCTTGGTCTCAGCTGAATCGTTAGCAAAAGTTTCACTTAATCCCAGCACCAGGCATGAAGAGCTGCTTGGCACTCCCACCCTTCAGATGTGGGCAGGGAGGCCGGTGTGAGACATTCAGTTCTGCAAGCAGAGTGACCCAGAGGGCCAGACAGTTTGAGACCGGACACTGACCCATAATCAGCCTGAGCAAGGCTTCCAGGGTCAGGCAGTGGGCTCAAGGTAACAGTGGCTCATCTCTGCTCCTGACCCCTCAGAAATCAGGAGAAGCACAAAACCCCTAACTGCAATAAGAATGGACAGCACCTCATCCCTGAAAGACCTTCAGTGATCACCATATTCAAAACTGCAGACTCCCGCCCGGCAGGTGCTTCCCAGCTCCAGCTTCCCCACTACAATCGCCTCCTTGCCCACACGCCTCTACCTCCTCATGAGGTTCTGGCTACCTTGACCTCCACCGGAATGAACGGATGTACCCAGAGAGGCAGGGGCGTGGGCCTGTTTTATTTATGTCTTTATTCTCAGAATCTAGAATACCACCTGGAAAAATAGGTGTCC
Organism: Homo sapiens; assembly: GCF_000001405.40. Lineage (NCBI taxonomy): Eukaryota > Metazoa > Chordata > Mammalia > Primates > Hominidae > Homo > Homo sapiens. The sequence continues at coordinate 228,391 of NW_025791787.1, read as the reverse complement.
AATAAATGAGGAATAAACAAATAAATGAATGAAACGCATTATTCTCTTAGAAAAGGACAAAGACAACAGAAATTTCAGGAACGAGAGCAAAAGATCTGCAGATAGTCACAATCCAGAGTTCACCTTCTGGGAGGATAACAAAAGCAATGCATTTGTTTCTGAAAAGGAAGGTTTGTCTTCTAGCGGCACACAGACTCCCACAGAGAAAAGGATGTGATCTTGGCATACCACTTGGCCTGAATCGTGAATAAGATTGACATAAAAATTATGATGCATCCACACTGCACTAATGTATTTTTGTTGTTGTACACATATTTTATTTATAATTATGATAACAAATTTATGTGTGTCTATGTCTTCCACTAGACTGTCAGTACAAGAGGCAGAGATTTCTTTTATATCTTGTGCAAACTCTAATTGCTGGTATGTAAAAGAGTATATAGATAGACACACAAAATACTTTTGAAAAACTAAACACTCGCCTACAACTCAACCGCAAATATCCAATACAGCATCCCAGGTGTCCCACTTATTTGCTTCCTGGGGCTGCCACAACAAAGAACCACACAAGGGGGCGCTAAAACAACAGAAATCTCTTATCCCACAGTTCTGGAGGCTGGAACCCCATGAGCAAGGTGTCAGCAGGGTTGGTTCTGCTAAGGACTGTGAGGAAAAATGGGCTCAGGCCTCACTCCTTGCCTTGCAGGTGGCAGTCTTCTCCCTGTGCCCTCACATGGTCATCCTTCCATGCATGTGTCCTCATCCCCTCTTCTTGACAAGGACACCAGTCATATTGCGTTAGGGTCCACCCTGACAGTCTCATTTTAATCACCTCTTTATCCTATCTCCAACTCCAGTCATATTCTGAGGTACTGGGGTTAGGTGTCCAACAAATGAATTTGTGGGGAAGTCACAATTCACCCATAACCCCCGGCCCCTGCGTAGAGCATCCCCCTCCAACTCTGAAGCTGATGAGGTGTTCACTCCCAACCCATCACTTGCACAGGACGCTTCTAAGGCCATAGGTGGGACCCCCAACAACGTGTTTGCGTGTTCTTGCTTCTGTGAGATTTGAAAAGAGCAGTGTTGTCATGGCAACTGGTTTCCAATGCTCATTCCCACTGCCCTTCACTCACACTGTCCCTCATGTTGGGGGACATCAGAGTGGCCGCAGGCATTTCGAGATCCAGCTAATGGGAAGGTTCAAGGGACATGCTTAATTGGACTGTTGGGGATATTTTCACAGCTTAGTCACTTCCATGTATAAGTAACTTACTGCTAGCCAATCCAGAGGAACGACTTCGTGGAATGGTACCCTGCAGACTGTGCCAGTCCTCTCGTGTCTCAGTGTGAAGGTACTCTTATTTCCTACAGCTCCATACATGTGGGTGGTGGAAGAGAAACATGCTTCAAAGGGCCAGGAGCTAGTCTATAGAAAATTATCTCAGTCTTTACATTTATAAGGAGTAAGCAGTTCTCACTGATGTCTAGGCAAAAGCTAAGTTTTCTGGTCAGGAAAATGCTTAAAGTGCAGTAAATTTAATTATAAACACAACATATTTTTCTCCATTTTGATGAAAGTCACGTGCAATAAAACTTATCAGAACTCCTCTTTTGTCAGGCAAAGCACCATAGCATTACTTTTAAAAGGCACATCTTACCCACCACAGAGTAGCAATTGGCAAATTAGGAATTCTAATGAATCTTGTCCTCAAGAAGTAGACAGTTCCTGATGAAACACGCAAATCACCACCAATGCAGTACAATTCCTCAAGAAGCAAGTATTTCAGAGGTGTGTCAACTTATAAAAATGTTATTTTTATGATACTGTGAAATCCATGGTATTTGTTCAAAAATACATAATTTACTGTGATTTCTTTTCTCATTCTAAGTAACCTTTCTCAGGTGAGTTTGCCTTTATAATGTTATGTCCTGGATCTGCCCCCACCTGGCACATTACAATTCCACATCCTTAGTAACCATGTATTTCAAGGATGTAATGTCCTCCCTACATTTGGGGATCAACCATGTGACTGGGGTCCAGGGAGTGGCAGGAGCTGAGACGGACTGGGGGCAAGAGACCACAGCACAAGGAAGACTCAGCTAGATGTGGCAAGGCCCCTGAACCGAGTGACTTATGCATCCTGAATACCATTTGCACCTTGTGTCCACAGATGGCTCTACCACATACAAAGGGCACATCCCTGGGCTGATCTCATTGTCCTGGGAGCCTCGTTTCTTTATTTCTGGAAAGCAGGCAGTGACTGTAAGTAGCTTCATTGGGTTTGGGTGAAGATTAAGTGAGAACAAAATATGACTGTGCTTTGGAAGCTCACATGTGCATTTGACATAAAGGGTTGTTTTTCCAACTGTGGGGAGGTGTGCAAAAATGTGCATTTTTAAAATGATTATTAGCAAATTTGTTTCTGGGTAGAGCAACAGTGAGAAATTGGGGAAGAGAGAGGAGAGAAATGTCAAGATAGCCAGGAGGGAGGGCCAGTGCTTCAGAGATCTTGGTCCTAGAGCACCCTGGGGTGTGGCCATCAGAAAGGGGTAAGACAAAGAGATTCCAGAGAGAAGCTATCTCTATCTAGACAGGAGGCTGGGTGGCCCCCTGTGCCCCAGGCAATGATATCTGGACGACCCCTAATATGATTAGCTTCTTAAAAGCCCTTTTAAAAATGTGTTCAGCTGGAAAATAAACTCTCTTCCATGGTTAAAAAAGACAGAAAGTCCGACTTTTAACTGGCAGATGGCTCACTTAGATTCCGACAAGGCCCGTTTGAACTCATGCTACTTAGAGATGCATAAATTGTTGTTTTTGTTTTCTCCCATTAACTGCTCAGGATTGCAAAATGAGGGATAGTTAGCAGAAATCATTTCACCGTTAATGAAGCATACATTAAAACATTCCATAATGTAAAAATATATCAAAACATTACACTGTACCCAAATATATACAATTATTATTTGTCAATTAAGTAAGCTTAAAAATGTGAAATAAAAACAGACATTTGGAATTTGGGGGCAGGGGAATAGGATGGGTTAAGTGAAAAAGTGATGCTTTACGTAAGAATCCTAAGTCTGAACTTTGAGAGACTGCACAATGGAAAATGCTGGAAAGTCCCCAGTGCTCTGGATCATGTAGGATAAAACTGGTTTCTGAAATAATTGGGCCCATGTGTTGTTATCAGAGACCTAGATCTTTTATTGACATTCTTTCTGTTAAAAAAAAAATGTGCAGCCTAATACTTGCAAAGGAAATGTGATTGCTCCATTTGCATTTCTGTCCATACCACATGGAAGTCATTTTAAAGTAAGTGGTTTAGAATTAGGGCGGGAAAGGAGTTCCAGCTTTTACATCAGAGGGGGCAACCTCTCTCTGCTGGTGCCGTCCAGCAGTCAGGCTCCTTCCATTGTAAATAAGCCATGCCCTGCTACAGGAGAGTTCTTGAAGTTGAGCCCAAACCAGCGTCGTCTTCATGTCACTCACTCCTTCGATTGAAAAATTATCTGCTGCTTAATCCCAAAAATATCATCACAGGTGCTAAAAGATGAATGAAGAAACATATAAGAGAAAGTTAAAATCACCTGGACAGACCATCAATGGCAAAACCTTCCAACACAGGATGGTTCCCAACAATTGTGGTTGTTTACATTTTTCTAGGAAAGAAAAGAATCGATTTGAGAACTCTCTGGAGAAATTCTTCTAAAGCAGAATCTTGTGTCCAGAGAAACTTTAATTTCTTCTTTAAATGCCCACATTTCAAAGGATTACTTAGGAAAAAAGGTAAAACAAAAAACAACTACAAAAAGGCTTTTTCTGTTATCAAATTTATGAAATCCTAATACACATTAAAAATATTTCAAAAACTTGTTTCCACCCCTTCACTTAAAATATTGTGTATAGGCTGAAGTAGTTAACAAAGGCTATTTTCAGGAATCAAATCCCATCCTGAGTGCTGTACTGGGCGTTGTGAAATGCACAGGAAGCAGCTGTAGACTCCACGCGGTCGCCTGCCTGGTCTGGGAGCATCCATGGGCCAGGGCAGCATACGTGGCATAGGGGCAGGCTCCAAGCCAGCCCCCCGCCTCTGACCTGCCTGCACATCATCTGTGAAATGAGGACACTGCTTAGGGCTTTCGGAGGGTAAATGGGTCAATCCATGGAAAGTTGTCTGGGCAGTACCTGACACAGTAGCAAGTGCTAGCCGCTGACTGCTTTTACCCGTTTCTGTTCAGTTACAGGGAACTGTAAATTATTCAGGGACCCATTCTTGGATTGTACATTAGTCTGGCGACATTTTCAGCATCCTGTTTTGGGCTTTTTAGGTAAGTTTGCTACTTTTTGAAAATATCATCTGGGACAGAGAAAAAAATGAAACTTAATGGAATCCATTTTTCTTCTTTGTAGAAAAAACAAATGGGCCAGGAATGAAGCCTCTCAAAATAAGCCCAGAGTGGTGAGTGGCGTGGTTGGATGGCCCTGCCAGCCATGCAACAGGGTCTGCACTCCATCTGAAGAGCACGGTGGACCCCCTGGAGGATTTCCAGCAGAGGCGTGCTGGCTTTGTGTAGTCAGGGGATGTGGCAGAAAGCCTCCAGGATGGCCCCTGGTGATCTGCAGATCCTGGAATTCATGCCTTTGTGTGATCCTCTCCCTTTAGTGCAGACTAGACTTAGTGACTTGCTTCTGATGAATACAATACAAGCAAAAGAATGGGATGGCCCTTCTGAGATTAGGTTACAAAAGGCCTGTGGCTTCTGTCTTGGCTTCTCTCTCTCACTCTACCCCTTGCTCACTCCAAAGGAAGGGAGCTGCCATGTGGTGAGCTGCCCTGTGTAGAGATCCATGGGTCAAGAAATTGATGTTTCCAGCCAACAGCCAGCCAAGACCTCAGGGCTGCCAACAGCCACGTCAGTGAGCTTGGAAGTGCATCCTATCCGAGTTGAGCCCGCAGATCACTCAGCCCCAGCCAACCCCTTTGCTGCATCCTTGTGAGAGATCCTGAGTCAGGCACCAGTGAAGCCTTGCTCAGATTCCTGATCCACAGACATGGTAAAATGAACGTTTGTTGTTTTAAGCCACTAAGTTTGGAGCTAGTTTGTTATGCAGCACTAGAAAACTAATACAATTACTCTGGCTAGTGTAGATACTACATTGGAGAGAGGAGGTAAGACTGGAAAGAGCTGCAGTAGCTATAACTCTATGAGAAAATTAGTAGCCATAACAGTAAGAGTGTGGACTGGGTGTAGTGGCTCATGTCTAAAATCCCAGCATTTCGGGAGGCTGAGGCAGGTACATTGCTTGAGCCTAGGAGTTCAAGACCAGCCTGGGCAGCAGGCTGAAACACCATCTCTACAAAAACTACAGAAACTAGCCAGACATGGTGGTTAACACCTGTACTCCCAGCTGCTTGGGAGACTGAGGTGGAAGGATCACTTGAGTCCAGAAAGTCAAGGTTGCAGTGAGCTGAGATCGTGCCACTGCACTCCAGCCTGAGTGACAGAGCAAGACCTTGTCTCAGTTAAAAAACAAAACAAAACAAAAAATTCCCACAAGCAAAATAAGCTTTCTTTTGCCATCTTCCATCATTGCCAATGGCATTCATCCAAAGTGAAATTCAATAAAGATTCTTTGGTTGGTTGCACTATGGTACACTCAGGGTAGTATGTGGTTGATTTAATCCAAGCACAGATGTTGGGTATGTAAGAGGAAAGTTGGGCTACATGCCCATCCTTCACTTAGCTTTTCCCGTGTTGAGCAGCACTAAGTTCAAGGCCATACCCCTTGGCTGGAGCTGGAGGGCACTGCTTGTCTGTGAACATCTAAGTGTCAACCTGGGCAGACAGACTGTTCACCACTGTCACATTAGAAGGGATGTTGGAGTGGAAAGAACATTCTAGAGACAGCAAACAAGTAATTCTGGACTCACTCCAGCTCCCAAAGTTCTATAACATAAGAGGTGATCTGGAGGTTAGCCTCAAAATATCTTTTTCTTTACTTTTTAAAAATTAATCTTTTAAATAGAAACGAGATCTTGCTATGTTGCCCAGTTGGGTCTCAAACTCCTGGGCTCAAACAATCCTCCTGCCTCAGCCTCTTGAGTAGATAGGATTACAAGTATGCACCACCCAGCTACTATTATCGCTTCTAAGTTTTTAAAGCAAGTGTAACAAAAGTCAAGAGTGCAGCTGCTGATGTCGGAATTCCTATATTTTTTCCCAGCAGAGTCCAAGCCTGATCCTCTTTGGGGACCTGACTGGTCAGGTTCTGTTTAAGCAGCTTCACCTTCAGAGGAATACAGGGCAGTCCAGTCTCACTTTGGAAAACTTCTCCATGGAGGACATATTCTAGTAGATTTTTTTGAATCCAAGTGATAAACAGAGAAGAGGAAAAGCAAGTAGATTAGTATTTATGAGGGAGGAAGTAGTGCAGGAGATGGCCATGGAAGCCCACTTCTGGCTCCAAGGGTCTGGTTTGTAGCAGCCTGATCCTGCTGATGCCCGATTGGAAAGTTGGACAAAATGCCAAAGGATCTGTCTGAAGACACCTGGTAGCTAGAACTTGGCCAATGTCTCAAGGAAAGAGGAGCACATTGATATGAACCAGTGGGTACCTGACACAAAAGCAACCCACATTGCAAGTGTTCAATCGCCACCTACAGCTACTCTACTAGACAGCAGAGATAGAGCTTCTACAGTTTCCTATATACAATATCTACTATGCAATGAAAACTTTCCAGGCATACAAGAAAGTAGGACCAAAAGAAAAAAAAAATAGGTAATAGAAACAGATCCCGATATGAGAATGATCAAAAATAGATTTTTAAATAACTAAGATTCATATATTCAAGAAATTAGAAGACAAATGTGAATTCAGCAGAAAACTCAAATCAATAAACCAAATGAAAATTCTAGAACTGAAAAATGCGATAACTGAAATTAAGAGCTGAATAGATAGATTTAACAGCAGATTAGTCACAGTCAAATAAAAGATTAGGAAACTGAAAGATTGGCCAATAGAAAAATCCAGAATAAAGAATAGAGAATTTAAAAGGGTATAAAATACCAAAAAAGTATATAAGAAACAAATGTGACATGATGAAGTAGTTTAATATATATACAATTGAAGTGCTACAAGGGAAGGAGAAAGAGATTATGGTGGAAACAATATTTGAAGATTTCTCAAATATCATGAAACCCATAGAAGCAAGAGGTTCAGTGAACCACAAGCAGGGTAAATACAAAGAAAACCATACCTAGAGAACATCATGGTAAAATGCTGGAAATCAACAACAGTGATAAAAACCTTTAGAGCATCCAGAAAAAATTTAAAGGGCATATTAACTTCAAAGGGGCAACAGTAAGACATATACACAGCTGATTTCCCAGCAGAAACAGTAAAAACAGAAGATAATGGCATGACATCTTCACAGTCCTGAAAGGAAATGTCTGTACAGAATAAGCAAGCAGGAGAAGAGAGATCTGAGGCTGTTTACTTCTACAAAAGAAAAATAAACCCCTGGTTGTCTATCAATTACTTATACTGCTTTAATGGGAGTTTTTATTTTTCTGTTTTCACCTTTTTGGATCTTTACTGCCTATTAATTTTTTGTTCTGCTTACGTAACTGAGATAAAGCATTACATGTATTCTAATTCCAAGGAAATAAGTTAATATGTTTTCCTAATGAAGTCTTCAATCTCATTTTTTAAAACTATATTTTATTAGTGGAACTTTCCTCCCATCAAACGCTTACAAATGAATGAGGTCATTGCCTACATTAACTACACATTCCAGTGACTAATTAGAGTGGTATATAGTTTCTTTCCTCCTGCCACACTAAAGTATTTCATTTGCATGGCTAGTGAAATCATTAAGAGTCCCAGAATTTTAATTAAGGCTGTCTGAGTAGGAATCCTGCCTCCACCGCCTACTCACTGTGTGATCTCAGGCAACTTCATGTCTCCAAACCTTGTCCTTTCACAGAGGACAATCATAGCCATTCCTAGGAATTTGTGAGACATATATGAGATTATGCATGTAAAATTCTTGGCACAGTGGAGATTCTGTTTTCTCCAAAAGACATAGGACCCACATGTTTCCAATAAAACTTGGCAATACTAGCAGAAAAAGCAAGTTCTTTTGGCAAACATACACCATCAGTAACGAGCTGACGACACCCATGACAAGGCATGCCCACTGTTACAAGGCCTGCTCCCCTGGGACAGCCGCGCTTTGAACAGGGTCGATGTGTCCCAGACAGCAACAGATGGTTTGTAAAATTGGGAAAGGAAGGGAAGAAAGGTTGTTAAAGCAACCCCACTTTGTGAAATGTCTTCACCCTCAGGGAACACTGAGTAATCCCGGGCACCCCCTGCTTCCTGGGATCTCTAACACCTCCCCACTTCAACCTCTGCAGAGTGAGCATGTCTGTTTGAAAACTGAGCTTCCCCCTCTTCCTGAGTAATCTGGTGCAGTCACATGAAAGTAAAGCCTAGTTCTGGCTTTGGGTTTCTGGTTCTTTCATCCCTTGCCCCATCCCTAAAGCTCCATTTCTTCCCCCACAATCACGAAAAATGAATTAAAGATGAGAGTGGGGAGCAGTGGTGGTGAATTCTTAAGCAATCCTTTCAAGAACTATTCTTGGGGAGAGGGGGTTAAAGGGTTCTCTAAAGTTCATTTTAATTTCCTTGGAATCACTACAGAATCCAGAGAAACATTATATGATTTTTAAAATAATCTTTTTCAGAAACTGATAGGCAACACATACAAGGATTAGATTCAACTTTGTGATTCTAATTTCTCTAAACAGCATGTCATCTGAAATGTGATATGGAAAATCTAAGTTCTAATTTTATTCAACTAGATAATGCATACTTAGGATCTGGCTCTTTCCTTATTATCTTTTCATTGGTGAAGTATTTCCATCTTTTATGGAAGCATAATGCAGAATACAGAAAATATACATATCAAAACTGTGTATGTGTATACAAGTATACCCTTGATGATTTTCTCAATGAAAATTCCATGTAATTCATTAAAATAGTAACCTACCACATTACTGTATCTTCAGGTCCCAGGGCCTGGAAAGCTGAGGGGCATGGGTTTCATTCTGCTAACCCCCTTCCATCTCACCACTGCTTAGCCTCCACCCAAAAGCCTCTACTTTTATCTGTTTTAAGGATTGGGGTTGGGCACTAGATTTTCTTGTGGGAAAAGGAGAGGTTCTCATGTAAAAAAAAATAGTTTTAAAGTTAACAATCTCATCCTGAGATTCAGGGTTCCTTCCTGTTCATAGCTCAGGACGTGGGACGTGCTGTCCCAAGACAAAGATGCTAAGCCAAGACCAGGTGGCAGGTGGGGCTCCAGGGTGAACATAGGGTCCAACATGGGCAAGAGACCTCAATGTGGAAGCAGGGCATGTCCCAGCACCAGATCTATGGGTGAGCCCCTGGTCAAGAGTCAAAAATGGACAAGATACCAGCATTGGAGCAAAGACTTCATTTGTCTGAGTCATTTCCTTCAAGAGTGGTTTGCGTTATGCTTTTGCAAAATGTCCTGGTCTTCTCCAGAACCTGCAGGTTAAATCCATGGAGTTATTCAAATCCAAAGCTCGCCACTCCATTCCAGGCAACAGCTGTGGGAAGTTTCAGCTCCAGGTCTCCGCATCTGATTCAGCCAAATTCCCAGAAATGGTGCGGGTACTTCCCAGGCAACTGGATCCTGTGCCCAGCTCTCCAGAGTAGATGTCATTCTGTTCTCTGTCGTGGAATGCAACTTTACCCTTGCCCTCAATTTCTCCACACTGAATGTCCTCATCTACTGTTCCCTCCATGAACTTAGGGATGTGTTTCTTGGCTCTGAGCCTGTGAAGCACTTCTGTTGTGATGTTATAACCTCTTGAGTGTGTTGTTTCCTCTGTGACTCTTACATATACCTTCCCCCACAGGCCTCCCCACAATTGCAAGAATATGCACTTAGTTGTACTGCTTTTCTATTTTGCTTTCCCATAGCCTTTCCTCTCCCTTGGAGAGTAGTTTTCTCTAATGACATTTGAAGGCATGCTTTCTTTATTCTGTTTTTCAGAAAATAATTCTGCAATTCCTTTGGAGGCTGCCGTCTGAAATGCATTTGTACTGCCCTGTTTTTATCCTTCTGCCTCCTACAGCACATAGAAAATTAATCATTCGATTCCTCCCAGTTGTTTTTTGAGAGACCACAGTCTCCAAACACTAAAATAGGCCCCGTAAGGATAATATAAAGGACACAGGAGATGAGATGTGGTCCTTGCCCTTGAGTAAATGGTAAGAGAGCTGGAAGAACTCTGTTGATCAATACCGGATACAGCCAGGATGCAGCTCAGTATTAAATCATTCCTTCAGGCTGGGCTCAGTGGCTCATGTCTGTAATCCCAGCACTTTGGGAGGCCAAGGTGGGTGGATCACCTGAGGCCAAGAGTTTGAGACCAGCCTGGCCAACATGGTGAAACCCCATCTCTACTAAAAATACAAAAAAATTAGCCAGGCATAATGGCGAGTGCCTGTAATCCCAGCTACACGGGAGACTGAGGCACGAGAATTGCTTGAACCCAGGAGGCGGAGGTTACAGTGAACTGAGATCACACCACTGCACTCCAGCCTGGGCGACAGAGCGAGACTGTCTTGAAGTAAATAAACAAACAAACAAACAATCATTCCTTCAGTTCCCAGAGCCCTTGAGTAGCATCTATGGAAGAATGCTTTCTGCAGCTCCTACTTTTTAAAAAAGGAGTTTTCACCACTTTTCCAGTAACTTTGAACCATTACCTCAACAGTCTGAACCATAACAGAGTCTCAAGTAAATGTTTTGGACAAACAAATGGGTGGGTGGATAGATAGATGGATGAATGGATACTCATCCATAAATACATGGATAGGTAGACGGATGGATGCATGGATGGGTGGATTGATAGGTGGATGGATGAGTGGATGGATGAATGGGTGGATGGATGAATGGATGGATGGACGGGTGGATGGGTAGGTGGATGGATGGATGGATGGATGGATGGATGGATGGATGGATGAATGGATGGGTGGAAGGATGGGTGGATGATGGGTGGATGGATGAATGGACAGGTGGATGGGTAGATGGATGGGTGGATGGGTGGTTGGATGGATGAGTGGATGGATGAATGGGTGGATGGATGGGTGGACAGATGGATGGATGAATGGATGCATGGATGGGTGGAAGGATGGGTGGATGGCTGAATGGACAGGTTGATGGATAGATGGATGGGTGGATGGATAGGTTGATGGATGAGTGGATTGATGAATGGGTGGATGGATTGGTGGATGGATGCATGAATGGATGCATGAATGGGTGGAAGGATGAGTAAATGGATGGGTGGATGGATGAATGGACAGGTGGATGGGTAGATGGATGGATGGATGAATTGATGCATGGATGGGTGGAAGGATGGGTGGATGGATGGGTGGCTGAATGAGTGGATGGATGAATGGGTAGATGTAGATGGATGCGTGGATGGATGGATGGATGGATGAATAGATGCATGGATAGGTGGAAGGATGGGTGGGTGGATGAGTGGATGGATGAATGAACAGGTGGATGGATGGATAGATGGATGGATGGATGGATGGATGGATGGATGCATGGATAGGTGGAAGGATGGGTGGATGGATGAGTAGATGGATGAATGGACAGGTGGGTGGATGGATGGATGGATGGATGGATGCATGGATGGGTAGATGCATGGGTGGATGGATGGATGGATGGGTTGGTGAGTTGGTGGGTGGATGGATGGACATATGGACAGGTGGATGGATATATGAGCTACTTTACTTGATGTTGGATATCCTACTTAAGAGACAGCTTGGTGCAGTAGCCTAGTGTGGCTGTGTAAATATGAAGAAGTTATTTAACCTTTGTTTCTTTTTTAACTCATTTGTGAAACAGAGACAGAACAGGTCCATGATCTCTTATATGCAATCCTTGTGGATTTGTTAGGGATTCAGACATTGTCAGATTTCAAAGGGGTGATGTAATTTATATATACCTCCAGCTGGGTCTGAGGCAGCACCACAAAACAAGAATACTGACTATTTTTATTGAGTAGTGTAAATAGTAACTTAATGGGCTAAAAAGAGACTGTAACCATCCTAAAGTCTTCTCAGTTTGGTTTTGCCACCAAATGAGATATGACCAACTTTTTAGTTTCCAGAGCATTTTGGATCTTAGCATTGAATGTAAGGAAATGTGAATTTGTCTTCTCTACATTTTAGAGCTTGTTTGGGGATTCCCGTAAGATTATAAGCATATATTGGTTGACTTGTTTATTCTCTACTTTCCCCACAGTATTAACTATAACCATCATAAAAGTGAGGGATGTGTTAGAAAAATTCTATGCCTACACCTGAGCAGGTGTTCAACGAAGGCAAGTGGTATGAAGCGTGGAGTGAGGGATGAAGTATCCTGACCCCTGCACTTCCCTCCCCAGTGCGCTGCTACTGCAGGCCTATGCTCTGAGCTCAGCAGCACATCAGTTTTTATATTCCTGAACCACTGCAGCACGTACCCCCATGGGCCACTTCCTTCTTCTGGAAGCACTCCCATTCCTTCCTTGCTTTCCACAGCATGACATCTTTTTGGTTTTTCTTCTTCATCTCAGTCTTCTCTTAGATTTCCTCTTCCTCCTTCTTGTCCCATAAATGTCAGTACTTTATAGATTTCCTCCCTCAGTCACCTCTCTTTGAGCTTGTGGAGAACTCTCTGCTGGTTACCTTGCCTGCTCTCTGGCTTTATTTATTGTTGCATACACTTAAGATTTTCAACCCAAATCTGTCCTTGAGCGAGGACTCTCATGAGCTTCAGGCTCAAGTGTGCATCACTTCTAGAATGTCTGAAAGCACCCTAATTCTAACATGCCCAAAAGAATTCACCTCATTTTGCCCAAACCTGATTCTCAACCTGTGCTCTCTTATCAATGAATGCACCATCATTCACCCAGGCCAGAACCTGGGAGGCATCTCTTCCTCTTTCCCTAAATGAGATCCATCCTCAATTCTCCAGCAATGCTGTGTTTATCCATCTCTCATTACATCTCTACTGTTCCTTTTACCTCCCTCATTCAGGTTCCTATCATAGCTTCTTTGATTTTCTGAAGCTGTTCTCAAGAGGTGATTCAGGGACCCCTAGGGATCTATCTCCAAGGTCCTTGCAGGCATCTACAACATCATATCATGCATGAATAAAACCCATTCAAAGTTCAAGAGAGATTAATGGTTTTCAATGTACAGAATTTAAGTGTACTGATATCGTTTCAGATTCCCCTTTGCAACTAACATTTAAGAAACTACCATCTGTTGAATATTGGTGTGGTATCAAAGAATAATATGCACAATTATCTGAAAAGACCATTAAAATATTTCTCCATTTTCCAAGTATACATCTGCATAAGTCTGGATTTTCTTTGCGTACTTAAACTAAAAAGCACTCACAGCAGACTGACAGTGAAAGCAAATGAGACTCTATCAGGCTTCCATTAGACTATACTTTAAAGAGATTTGCAAAAATGTAAAGCAATGGTATCCTATTATCCTAGATTTTTGGTTTTTGAAATAGAGTTCTGTTTTATAAAAAAATGTCAAGTTAACATGTAATGGTTTAATTAATGTTATTTTTAATGAGTTAAATACTTTTTAAATTTTCTGTTTCAATTTCTAATTTGGCAAATATTGGTAGGTACAACCACAAAACAAAAACTCTTTAGTATCCTCAATACTTTGTGTGTGTAAAGGAGCCCTAAGACCAAAATGTTTGAGAAACTTTCTTTGATTTACCAGAACAGCCTTGTGACCAGTCTCCTTCACCCCTGTTGAGCCCACCCTGCAGCCAAAGTGACTCTCCTGCAGGGCAATGTCATTAAACAACAACCGCTAATAAAACCCTTGAGAGGGTTCCCACTGCCCTGAGGATAGACAACAGGCAGGGTCCTCTACAACCCTGCAAACTTCCCTCTCTTCCTTCTCAATCCCCAGCCATGGGCCTTTGCACATATGTTCACTACCTCTAGAATGTTCTTTTCATTCTACCATCCCTTCTGTTTTCTGCAGAATAGGATCTATCATAAGGCCAGCTCCCTTAATGATGGTGGGATGCGTGTCAGCAAACCAGGGTATCACTTCCTTCTCATGCCAGATGGTTCAGTCTTTCTTCTCATATATTGCACAAAAGACCAGGGTTTCCCTCAGAAAGGAGTACATCGGTAGACCACCTACCACTGATGATCAATAGCTTTGATCCTCAAAAGTCCACAATAGATGACTCTCTTTTTATTAAATTAAATTTTATTTAAAACATAAAAATTAAATTACATTAAATTTTATTAAATCATCTCTCAAAATGTTTTCAAACATTTTGGTCTATCATCCACTGTACTTCCCTATCATAACACTTATCATATGAATAACCTGAAATTGCTCCTGTAATTATCTTTCTTTCATTTGATGCTAAGGATATGAGGTTGGGAACTGTGTCTGCCCTGTTTAATGCTATATGTCCAATACCTAGTGTAATGAAGGCTTTGCATAGACTAAACCAAAAATAAAATTCTAAGGCCCCCCTAACCATCGGAATCAAGCCCTCCTCTCAGCCAGGGTATTCCAAAGTTAACCTGAAAACTGGTTTAGGCCACGACGGGAAGGCAGGGTCAAACATGCCTCATTATGCCCTCCTTCCTCTTGGAATTCAGGAAAAGCCAACCAGCATTCACATCAACACAGACCTTAAGACTGTTAAGAAACATTTAGAATCTGTTCTCTCTGATAGCTGCTACCTGGAGGTTTCATGTGCATGATAAAACTTTGGTCTCCACAATCCCTTACTGTAACCCAGACACTCCTCTCTATTGATAATAATTCTTTCAACCAATTGCCAATCAGAAATTCTTTATATCATCTACCCAAAACCTGGAAGCCCTCTCCCTCTTAAAGTTGTCCCACCTTTTTGGACCGAACCAATGTATATCTCACATGTATTTGATTGCTGTCTCATGTCTCCCTAAAATGTATAATACTAGGCTGTGTCCCAACCACCTTGGGCACATGCTCTCAGGATCTCTTGAGGTCTGTGTGACAGGCCATTAGTCACTTATATTTGGCTCAGAATAAATGTCTTCAAATATTTTACAGTTTGACTCTTTTTGTCAACAATAGGTAGGTACATAATAAATGTTTATTGGTTAAAGAAAAGTAGATGAGGGAAAGCGAGACAAAATTGGGTCCTAGCAGAAATCAGAAGAATATCTGGAGAGAAAACAAAGGGGCATTTTTCTAATCTTAGAGAGGAGATTGAGGCCCTGCTCTGACTTTTCAGGTAGCGTTGCCGTGATTATTACTGAATATTGAAATACTTTATATCTTACCTGGAAGGTTTTACAGGAGGCACAATTTAAAAGTTAAATTTGATTCAGAGATTTATATTGATCTGGTTAAAACCATTTATTTTAAGAGTTTTTTAAGTTATAAAATTGCCTAGTAGATGTTTTTGAATTATCTTTAAACATTATTATCTGGAGAATTTTGATAAGCACAAGAGTATAATCCTGATTTTTACATATGACCCTTTCTTCATACTATATCCCTATAATTACTTTAGATTTCAGACACCCTTTATTTTATATCACCTGGAGACCATTTGCAGTTGCCTTAAACATGTAGATGAACATTCTACGTGCATATAAGGAAAAAACAGGCTTCTTTTTAAAACTGCAGGTCAATTCCCTGCCAATTTAGAAAGAATCGAGCCTGAATACTTAAAGGTACAGCTCCAGCCATGTGAATTTTAGATGAGGGAGAAAAAAAATCTCTATTTTTCTTGAAGATTTTAAATTATTATTTGGGCTTGTGTTTCTCAAGTTAAAAAACAAAACAGTGTTTACTATTCAGGTCCTGTTATCACTCTTCCACTCAAAAAAGAAAAGGAAGAAAAGAAGAAATCAAAAGGCAGCTCTGGATTAACAAAGTCATGAAAAGGCTTCCAGATAAAAATCTCAGTTTCAAAAAGTGATTTAATATCTTCATAAAATGGACATAGAAATGCCTCTGAAATTGGGTTGTATGTGACATATTTCATAAAGTTTACTGATCCAAGACTCAATTAAATCTAAAAGGTCAGAACTGCCACCAAGCCCTCTCTGTGCTGCTCAGCTGAGCCTCCCTCACCAAAGGGACCCCTAAGATTTGGGCTCCTTGATCAGCCCCACACATAACTACTGAGCCCAACTGCATGTTCCCTAGAAAGCCATGCCTGGGCTGAGCCTTTGATGACCGGGCTTCTTACAAAGCCCCATCTAGACATTGACAAGGCGACTCGTTTCTGTCCAGTGTGAATCTGGGATGGTCTTGCAATAATAATATAAAAATTTGGCCAGTGTATTACCAAGTATTTTATTTTTTGTATTCTGATGCTTTGACATCTTGGGAGCTGCTGGCCCTGGAGGAACTGTTCTCCCCACCCCAGCCCCAAGAACCAGCTAATTCCTAGAGGGAGTAAAGGACCCCTGTGAGTACACCTTTCATATGTAAAACAACCAACCCAGAGCCCACACCCCACTGCCCCCTCTATGGGGCTCTCATACTCTGGGCCACTATCCCCTTACCCCAATCACCCCAGGGCAGGTACCAGACAACCAGGGAGAGTCCCTCCACCCCAGAGCCCACTGAAATGATTCATACTAGCCAATCCCAAGCCTGCTTACCCTGCCTCACCAGTCCCTTCCCACAAAAACAAAACAAAACAAAATAAAGGCTCTTGCCCACAGTACCCTCGATTCCTCTGCCTATGGCCTATCTTGGTATTTCCATATATACCTCGTGGCATGGTGTGGGCTCTCTCCTTGGGAACTGTGAGAAACTATCTTTTCAATGGCAGTCGTATTCTTACCTGTTGGCGTTACTATGCCTCAAATTTTCTCCCACTGCGCTATATTTCAAAACAGCCAGGGAAGGCCAGGCGCGGTGGCTCACGCCTGTAATCCCAGCTCTTTGGGAGGCCGAGGCAGGCGGATCACGAGGTCAGGAGATCGAGACCATCCTGGCTAACACGGTGAAACCCCGTCTCTACTAAAAATACAAAAAATTAGCCAGGCGTGGTGGTGGATGTGTGGCTGTGGTCCCAGCTACTCGGGAGGCTGAGGCAGGAGAATGGCGTGAACCCGGGAGGCGGAGCTTGCAGTGAGCCGAGATCAGCCACTGCACTCCAGCCTGGGCGACAGAGCAAGACTCCGTCTCAAAAAAAAAAAAAAAAAAAAAAAAAACAGCCAGGGAAATAAATTTTCTTTCAACATGTATTAATACATAGAAGGAGTTAAGATGAAGGGAGTTGCCCAATAAGGAAGCTCTGTCCTTTAAGCCCAGGGCAAGAAGGGTCTGGACAGAGCATTTCTGGCTTGATTCCATGGGACCCTCCCCTGGCCGTCTCTGCTGGCTCACACAGCATCCAGTTGCTCAAGGTTCCCTCTGTCTGAACACTTCTCCCTGCAGTCCCAGTGACTGAAGCACTCGGATCTTCTTTTGGGCGGTCTTGAAGTTGATGATAATCTCCATCTGCCTGAGTTAGGAAAACATTTTCTGATGAAGGACTTGGCAGGAACGTGCTTGTGCCTGTCAAAGCTAGTGAGCCCTGAGCTGATGAGGAAAATAAGTGCTGATATGTGACTGAGGACTGTTCTCACATCCCAGACAGTTCGTGTGGACTCCCAGAAATAACTGATTACATTTATTCTTGCTTTAGGACAAAGAACATGGGAAATATTCTTTTTTTAATTTGCCAAGTGGCTGATATATTTTTCCTCACCCCAGCTTTATTGAGGTATAATTAACAAATAGAAATATATTGAAATCAGCATGTTGAAGAGATGTGGGCACTCCAATGTTCATTGCGGCATTATTCACAATCGATAAGATATGGAAGCAGCCCAGGTGTCCACCATCAGATGGATGGATGAGGAATGTGTGATCTATATACTCAAGGGAGTACTGTTTAGCCTTTAAAAAGATGGAAATCTTGTTATTTGAGACAACATGATAAACCTGGAGTACATTATGCAGCATGAAATAAGCCAGGCACAGAAAGGCAAGTATTGCATGATATCACTTATATGTGGAATCTAAAAAAGTTGAACTCATAGAAGTGGAAATAGAATGTGGTTACCAAAAGCTGGGGGAGAGGAGTGTATGAAGAAATGAGAGATGTTGATCAAAAGGTACAAAGTTTCAGTTAAATAAGGAGGAATAAGTGTTAGTGACCTATTGCACAGAATGGTGACTATATTTACAATGCATTATATATTTTAAAATTGCCAAGAGAGTAGATTTAAAATATTTTCACCACAAAAATGAAAAGCATGTAATGAATTTGTTAATGAGCCTGAATTAATCATTCCACATTGTAAACATATATCAAAATATCACTTTGTGCCCCATAAATATATAGAACTATTATGTCAATTAAAAATAAAATTTTAAAAATTAATATTAGAAATTACATATATTTACACGATGTTTTTAATATATGTATATATAATGAAATTATCAAATCAAGAAAATTAACATATACATCACTTTATATACTTTTTTTTGGGGGTGGTGAAAACATTGAAGACCTACTGTCTTAGTCAATTTCAAATATACAATGAAGCATTATTAACCATTGTCACCAAACTGTACAGTAAATCTCCAGAACTTATTTATCCTCCATAACTGAAAGTTGTACCCTTTGACCAAGATCTCCCCATCCCTCACAAAACACCCAGCCTCTGGTAACTACCATTCAACTCTGCTTCTGTAACTGAAATGCAGCTTAGTTGCTTGCTGCATTTAGAGTCCAGTTAAAAAAAGTAAGATCTGATACCTAAAAAAGTGAATTTCTTCCGAAGCTAGCTTGGGGAAGAGGCACAGATGTCCTACTGTACTGCTTCACCTTTGGAGCAGAAAGCGGGCACTTTTATAAGGTGGCGGGGTGGGGAATGAGCAAGGGCAGGGTTCCCCCTGTTAGGTTGGTGCCTTGTCTATCTACAGTTGAGTTGGCACCTTCCTGGGCAGATGTAAGTTGTAAAAGTGGCCAAGCAGGCATGCTTTCCATATGCCCTCTAGTGGATCAAAGTTCTGAGGCAACCCCCTACAAGTGAAAGTTCCATGGGGTATGCTTTGGTCTGCAAATCAACTGTCAACTCTCCAGGAGAGATCCATCTTGGAGTGCATAGTTAGATGAACTTGCCCTGTAAGGAATGTCTGGTGACGGGGGAGGTGAAAGGTTACATTTGCATTTCTGAAGGGCTAGGTAGGAAATAGGGAGCCAGGGAAGTGAGAAAAAAAGTGATAGAGGGAAAAAAAATAAACCACCTCTTAAAAAAATGGGGGTACTCCCTTACACTCCTCTGAGTTGGACTTTCTTAGATTCCACAGATGAGTAAGATCATGTGGCATGTATCTTTCTATGCCTGGCTTATTTCATTTTGCGTAATGTCCTCCAGGTTCATCTATATTGTCCCAAATGATAATATTTCATTTTCTTAGGCTGAATAGTATTCCATTGTGTATATGATACTATATTTTCTTTATCCATTAATGAAAAATGTTCTGTGATTATGTCATATTGTACTGTGTTGTGTTGTACTATCCTACTTGCCATGGACCTTCATATCTCCCTACTTTCTGTTTGCAATAAAATTAATCTAGGCTCTCAGGAAGGACCTAAGCGTGTGTGTGTATTGGCTTTGTTTTGCACAACCTTCCACATCTTGTGGAAATAAGGAGTCATAACAGGAAAATCCCTCTTAATGCTGTGCCCTCAATATTTGTCAATGAAGATTCCATTACTCTGTTTAGCATGTGTTAGAAATGGTGTTAGAGCCAGAGCTCCACAGAGTGGGAATGTAGGACTCCTTTATTGTACCTTGTCAATCCTGTGATGTAGGACTTTGCTGTAGGTGGAAATATGAGGTCAGCTAGATGGCCTGGGGCCCAGTCCTGGCTCTATCCTGTCAGAGGCATTTAAACCAGAGCAACTCCATCTTGAATACAGGCTGGGTACAATAAGGCTGAGACCTACTGGGCTGCATTTCCAGGAGGTTAAGGCATTCTTAGTCATAGGATGAGATAGGAGGTCAGCACAAGATACAGGTCACAAAGACCTTGCTGATAAAACAGCTTGCAGTAAAGAAGTCAGACAAAACCCACCAAAACCAAGATGGTGGCCAGAGTGACCTCCGGTCATCCTCACTGCTCATTATACACTAATTATAATGCATTAGCATGTTAAGAAACACTCCCACCAGTGCCATGGCAGTTTACAAATACCATGAAAAAGGGAGGAAGTTACCCTATATGGTCTAAAAGGGGGAGGAACCCTCAGTACTGGGAATTTTCCACTCCTTAATCAGAAAACTCATGAATAGTCCACCCCTTGTTTAGCATATAATCAAGAAGTAATGGTAAGTTAAGCAGCTTGAGTAGCTCATGCCACTGCTCTGCCTATGGGGTAATCATTCTTTATTTCTTTACTTTCTTAATAAACTTGATTTCACTTTACTCTATGGACTCACCCTGAATTCTTTCTTGCATGAGATTCAAGAACTCTCTCTTGGGGTCTGGATAGGGGCCCCTTTTTGGTAACAACCTTGTACTACAAAAAAGGAACAGTGCTGTTAAGTCCCCATTGGAGGCAGGATTTTGGGATGTTATTCCATTTCTGCAAGCATAATAAAATATATGCATTGGCCTTTGTTCCTGGCTCCTGGCACATAGCTCCTAAAACCCACAGAGTCTCCTGAGTGATGAGTGTCTTTTATATGCTGATGTAAGATGACTGGTGGGTGTGGCCCCGGATAGCTTCAGGATAGGGGTCCGGTTGCCAGAAAAAACAACCCTGGAATTAGAGGGTTAGAACTTTCAGTCCCACCCACTCTGGGGGAGGAGAGTGGGGCTGGAAATTGAGTTCAGCCACCAATGGCCAACGACTTAATCAACCATGCCTATGTAACAAAACCTCTACAAAACCCCTTAATGATGGGGCTCAGAGAAATTATGGGTTGGTAAATGCTCAATGTGCTGGGAGATGAGGTGCCTTGGAGAGGGCACGAAAGTACCATGTTCCTTACTCCCCATACCTTGCCCTATGCATCTCTTTCATCTGGCCATTCTTTTTTTTTCTTTTCCTTTTTCTTTTTTTTTTTTTTTTGAGGGAGTCCCACTCTGTTGCCCAGGCTGGACTGCAGCGGTGTGATCTCGGCTCTCGCAACCTCCGCCTCACAGGTTCAAGCGATTCTCCTGTCTCAGCCTCCTGAGTAGCTGAAATTACAGGCACACACCACCATGACCGGCTACTTTTTCTGTATTTTTAGTAGAAATGGGGTTTCATCATGTTGGCCAGGCTGGTCTCGAACTCCTGACCTCAGGTGATCTGCCCACCTCAGCCTCCCAAAGTGCTGGGATTTCAGGCATGAGCCACTGCCCGAGGCCCCATCTGGCCATTCTTAAGTTGTATCCTTTATAATAAGCTGGTAAACATAAGTAAACTGTTTTCCTGAGTTCTGTGAGTTATTCTGCAAATTCTCAAACCAGGTGGTGGGGGGAGGGAGGATATCAAGGGAACCCCTGAATCTGTAGCCAGCTAAGCAGAAGTGTGGATAATCTGAGCACTCCACTGTGGCTGGCATCCAAAGTAGGGGCAGTCTTGTGGGTCTGAGCCCTTTACCTTTGGGTCTGCAATAACTCTAGGAGTTAGTGACAGGATGAGATAAATTGTAGGACACCCAGTTGGTGTCCATAGAGTTGGGGGAGTAATATTGAAAAAGATACAACTACTTGAGGTCAGGGAAAAAACATGAAAATTTCAAACTTAAATCAACCCTTCAGGTTAACTATTATATTACAAATTTGTAGATGAAGAAATTGAAGCAAAGAGACTAAGAAGTTGCCAAAGTTACAAAGCTAATAAGCACCTAAACAAGGATTTGGACTTGGGTATATTTGAATCCAAAGCCTTCCTTGTTCTCCTCACAAACCAGGCAGCCCTCATATTAGCAGGTGATGCTGGGCAATTACCCAAACATTTCCAACAGCTCTACTTTAACAAGCATGGAAGGAGCGTGGGTTTGGTCACTTACCTCCTCTGAAGTCTAAACCTGCTTCCTAAGGAGGTCATGAGTGTCAGGTAAGACTGGGAAATCATTTTGTAAAGTGTAAGTCTGTGTCCACTTGTAAAGTATGTTTATTATAATCGTATTATTTTTGTTATAAAATTTATCAGCATCAGTTTCTCATTATACACCCATGGTAGACTTCCACACTGCTTCTACACCACCAGCAAGGGAGCCCAACAGAGTTCCTTGGTTTCAAGGTTGTAATTTGCAAAGAATCATCTGTCTGTGGCATGCCTCTGGTCAGGTAGAGACCAGTACTGATGTCCTTTAATTACATATGTTAGAAACCACAGCTAATTCAGGACAAGCTAAAACATTTGAAATAAATACCAGATTGGCAGAGCACTAGATGGTATACCAACCAGCGCCACGTTACATAAAACAACCAAATAAAGACAAAACAGAAAACAAAGCAAGATGTTTAATGTCCCCCTTTTCTCAAATACTGGATTCTGACATGACTGTTCTGATTCCATTCAAAGAAAAAGTCAATTCCATATGATGGGAATTCCATATACATTATCAATCAATGTCATTAAAACTTCTGGAAATCATTTGGACATTGTTCATATCCATTGATATTTAAATCCCACAAAGACACAGAGACTGGGGGAAAATGTTGGAAGCGCAGGATAAAAATTTATCTAACACAGGGGTGAATGAATGAACAAGTAAATAGATGCAGACCTTCTCTGACTTAACCGCAGGGAGGTCTGCATGTGGAAACTCAACCAAGAAGGTGATAACAGGAATTTCTCCTTACTTTAATAAGAATATCTCAGTTTAGTGTGTGGCCTGTCTTCCTTTAACTAAATATTGGTGTTTAACTGGTTCTACTTCGTTTGCTGTGCTATTCAATGCATTGAAAAAAGGCACTAATCATGTATCCTTCAAACTACAGTGTTGATTTTTACCAGAATATGTATTGCTATGTTTCAAAATCCCGTATTTGGACAGAAGGTTCTCTGTCACTTACATGCAATGGAGAATATGTTATTGAATGATGTTTTTGCACTGCATTTGTTACAATCCCATCTTCATGACTCTAACTTGTAGAAGGAGAAAACATTACATTTATCAAGAGGCTTCTCTATGCCACAATCTCCATTGACACTCATCAATTAAATAATGTGTGGATCCAATTAGTCAGACAAGCAACATTCTTTACTGAGGACTAGTTAAGTGCTGGGGACACAAAGATGAATAAGACATAGTCCCTGACATCAGATGACTCTGACCAGTAGGAGAAGATAGGCATGTTTTTAAAAGAGAGATACCAAAAAAGGGCCCAAAAATACTACAGAAGATTCTATTATTCTAATCATAAAATTATGTTCACAAGACTAGGAAGTTAAAAAGTAGAACAAGCGGGGTTTATATTAGAAGAATTGAAGAGACTCACAAAGAGGTATCTGCACATTTATTTTCGTCGCAGTATTATTCACGATAGCCAAGGTATGGAGGCAACCTAAATGTCCATTGTCAAATGAATGGATGAAGAAAATGTGGTATAGGAAGTAAATTATGAACCTTGAGGACGTTATGCTAAGTGAAATAAGTGGTTACAAAAAGACAAATACTGTATTACCCCACTTATGCTAGGGATCTAAAATAGTCAAACTCATGGAGATAGAAAGTAGAATGATGGTTGCCAGGGGTTAAGGGAAAATGAAGAGTTGTTTAATGAATATAGAGTTTCATTTTTGCAAGATGAAAAAGTTCTAGTGATCTATTGTACAATGATGTGCTGTAGTTAGCAACACTGTATTATACACTTTAAAATGATTATGAGGTTAAATTTAGGTAATGTGTTTTTTGCCACAAAAAAACAAAGCAGGACAAGATCAGAAATAACTTCACAAAGGTTGGGTCCATCACTGAATGTTCCCAGGAACATCATGAGGAGGATGATACTGTCCCATTTTACAGCTAAGGGAGTTGAAGACTGAATTTCAGGTCCATGTGACATGGAAGAGTGTGATTTTCCATGACCACCCCCTCCATGTCTCTTCTGTACGATACTAAATCCATATAATGCATCTTAAAATTTTTTCACGAGGCAAATCAGAAAGGATAAAATTTCTAATGTGCTCTTTTGCTTCCACAAACCAAAAATGAACCAAATCAATAATCAAAAACTAGGGGGAAAATATACTAAACATTTATTTTTGTTTTCTTGTATTTATTTACTTGCTACTTGCCTGCTAATGGAAATGACTAACTTTTAAAAATAAAACTATGAGCTTTTAAAGCTGTAAAGTGAAAACTGTTTTCTTGCCAAATAATGATTTCAAGCAAATGGAGCTCATTTACTGAATGGAGGCTCCCAGAATATTTTTATTGAATACAACCAAAAATGACAAAGTCACACACACACTGTTTGCCTCCTCAGTAGATAAGAGAGTACAGGATTCTTAAAACACTGAAAAAGGGTCTAAAATATCACTTAATAAAGACATATGTATCTTCTCTTTTAAAGCAGTATTTGGAATATTTGTTCATTATAATTTTGTTTGAAATGTGAACATCAACTTAATATGCCAGAGAAACATACTACCCTTGCCCTCTAAAGTGGAAATATGAATTCTCAAATATCTATAAATAAGACATATAGTAAATAATTTGTAGCTGTATTTGTAGATGAATTTATAGATGTATTATTAGATTATAGCCATTGCTATTATTGATTGTCGAATAAATCAGAGTAGAGGCAGACTATTCATGTGGTGGAATAATGTGAATGGTTCTCAACCCCCAGGGGACATTTTTGGTTGTCATGACCTGAGAGTGCTACTAGCAATGAGTGGGTAAAGGTCAGGGATGCTGGTAAGTATCCTACAGTGCACAGGACAGCCCTTCACAATAAATGACTATTTGGTCCAAAACGCCACAAGTGCTGAGACAGAGAAACCCTATATTATGCCAATTCTTTAATTGCTCTCTGTCCTACCCACTATGTCTCAGATCAATAGAAAAAATAGGCAATGTCATTCCCTTCCAGGGAATATGCTTTCAGGAAGCATACTGCTCATGGCTGGGAAATGCTTGTTTTCAACTGTGGTATTTTTATAGGAATGACACACAATTCATCCAAAAGGAGACAGAATGATAAACTGCAGGCAAAGAGGAGACCAAGTTCTTTTCAGAACTCTACACTGGCATTTAAATCATATCAAAAAGACTGTAACAACTGGGAACTGGACCAAGATGGCACATTTTTCAATTTGCTACCAGATCCAGGAAGAGAATTGGGTCCAAATGAGTCCTCAAAAATGAGTTCCTTATAAGTAAACATTTTATTTAGTTTGATTTATCCCATTAAAGGTTTCACTTCATATACAGCATAACATGATTCAATTAAAATTACAAAAAAAAATCAGCCCACAAAACGATCAGTAGGGAGGGAAATAGCAGGAAGTCAGACAAAGAAGTAAAATATACTGTATAAATTTATGCAACCAGCCAGGTATGGTGACTCATGCCTCTAATCACAGCACTTTTGGAGGCTGAGGCAGGCAGATCATGAGGTCAGGAGTTCGAGACCAGCCTGGCCAGCATGGTGAAACCCTGTCTCTACTAAAAATACAAAAGTTAGGCAGGCATGGTGGCATGTGCCTGTAGTCCCAGCTACTCTTATGGCTGAGGCAGGAGAATTGCTTGAACCCGGGAGGCAGAGGTTGCAGTGAGCCAAGATTGTGCCACTGCACTCCAGCCTGGGTGACAAAGTAAGACTCCATCTCAAAAAAATAAATAAATAAATAATTAAATTTATGCAACCAAGAGTAACCCCCATGAAATCAAACTAGCTAACTAGGGCTCCTTTAACTCATTGGCCCTCACATGTACATGGGACAACTTCTTCATGTGGTTACCCAGTTGTCTCTGAGACATTTCATGACATTCATTGATCATAGATTTGTTTGTCCACTTGTTTTATTACTTTTATGCTATTATATCATGAACATTTGAGACACTTAGTGTGTGCTTTGCTGATCTGTTGCTATGAATCACAGTACCCTGAAGTTTGTCAGTTTAAAATATGCACACATATTATCTCACAGTTTCTTTGGAGGAGAAATCTGGGTATGACTTATTTAGGTCCTCAGCTTCAGTCTCTTGTAAGGCTGCAATCAAGTGGAAACTGGGTCTGCAGTCTCATCAGAAGGCTCAACTGGGAAATGATCTGCATCCAAGATAACTCACATGGCTGTTGGCAAAATAATGCTTCTTGAAGGCTGTTATTCCAAGGTCCTCTGTTTCTCTCTGGCTGCTGACCAGAGGATACCCACAGTTCCTTGACAGGGCCTCTTCATCAGGGTAAATATGCAAAAAAGCCAGAGAGAGAATTCCAGTCACTTGTCAATAAGCTTGAGAAAAGTATTCAATTTCAAAGATTGGCAGAGAGATAATGGGCATTATAGAACTAAAGAACAACTCCCTGTGAAACCAGTGCTTTGTGCAACCATAGCTCTATGAGAGATTCTGCATTAGATGCTGGAGATAAAACAGGATATAAGACTATGGGTTTGGGTCTCAAAGATCTCACACTCTGCTAGGTGGGAAAACATGTAGACCTGGAAGAGAAATACATATAAGAAAATGTATGCTCAAGGCAGATTGTCTTGAAGAGGGGATATTATTAAATAACCAACCAGAGGCAACTGAAAGTATTGAACAAAGCTTGAAGGCCAGCCTCAGATAAATAGAAAGAAAGGAATGTACAAAGAGTGTGAACAAGTGATCACACACACACACACACACACACAAAGTGTTTAACATGTTTGGGGACTAATAAGAAAATCAAAGGGCTTCTGTGGGGGACACATGAGATAAAATAAAAGAATCTAGCAACGAAAGTGGTTAAGATAGAGGACTCTGGGGGCCACAGTACCCAGTTTCAAAGTCTAGCTCTTCCTCCTTGATACCAGGCAAGTTATTTCACCATACTGTGCCTTATCGTCCTGCTGTAAGTGGAATGACAATAGTACCTGTCTTTTTTTTTTTTTTTTGAGATAGAGTCTCACTCTATTGTCCAGGATGGAGTGCAGTGATGTGGTTTCAGCTCACTGCAACTCCTGCCTCCTGGTTTCAGGTGATTCCCATGCCTCAGCCTTCTGAGTAGCTGGGATTATAGGTATTCACCACCAGGCCCAGCTAACTTTTGTATTTTTAGTAGAGATGGGGTTTCAACATGTTGGCCAGGCAGGTCTCAAACTCCTGACCTCAAGTGATCCACCCACTTCAGCCTCCCATAGTGCTGGGATTACAGGCATGAGCCACTGTGCCCAGCCAGTACCTGTCTTGGGGTAGGAGCACACACGTACTAGGGACTCTGGACATCAGTTATCTTTCCTACTATGATGATTAATATCATTGCTACTTGTTCTTATTCTGCAGATAATCAGACACTACAGGAGAACACAAGGAGCGGGGATAAAAGGCATGGAGTGACCATTTAGGGCAATTATGTCCTGAGTCTGTGTCCATGGTGACCAGCACAGGGAGAGGGTAGAGGCACTGGTCCAGGCAAGGGTTGATGGGACCAGCCCTTGCAGAGTCACAGTGAGGACACAGGGAGGACCCAGAAATGTAGGCCAGGCCAAAAGAGACCTGGGGGGCTTGGAGGCAAGTCTGGATACCTGGACATGAGGGTTGAGGGCAAGGCAGGACTTAGGGATTGTCTACAACAGCCAATGGTGACATTTTTAAAAGGAGTCTGTAAATCTTTTCAACACCTAGTTCCTTCTCCTGTCTGTAGAGAGTGCTCAGTAAATGCTGACGATTCAAAGTAAACTTAAATGCATTCCAGCCATCCTGTGGCCCCGTCTCAGCAGAAGGTAGCATTTTAAACATCAATTCAGTCCCATCAAAAATTTTTAAAGGTTCAACATTTTACTACAACCTATTAAGATTTCCAAAAAGAAAGTGTTGTCATAGTACACAAAAAAACACCTCTTTAAAATTCCACATCTCTCTCATTTGAAATGTCTCTCTCACACCCGGATTTCCCCAGACATTTCGTCCTTTCTCTTCCAAGCTCCCCAAACACATACAAATCCAGCTTACACAGGCCCCTGTTTCTCCCTCCTCCCTCCTTGGTTTTTTAACTTTTCTGTTTTTGTTTGAGGTTGGTGTTTTGTTTTGTTTTGTTATGTTTTGTTTTGTTTTGTTTTGTTTTGTGTTATTTGGGGATTTTTCCCCATTGTTCTGTTCCAACATTCCCTGGATTCTATCTGAAAAAAATTAAACAGTAAGGCCAGCCATCTGACCCAGAAATCTTTCTTTTCTCACTCTCCCTATCCCACCACCTGCCTTGCACCCACCCTTGTAGTGGGGATGGTGATAACAGGGGCCACAGACCCCTACAAATTGGTGTCTTTTCTTTTCTCCTCATTACAGAAGTAACCCCTGATTCTTATCTCACCTAAATTGCTGAGCCTAAAACAAAATCCAGTCCAATCCAAATACCTGTATTTACTTAACCTCAAATGGAAACTACCAAGAAAAAAAAAATCTCCAATCACCTTGTGATCATTTTTAACTATAGCCAAATCCATGACAGAAAACTCAGCTTCATGTTTCCTAACTCTCTGATTGCCACTCACATTGGAATTTTCCTAACTGGAAAGGTGAGGTGTAAACAGTAGGGAGACTGGGGTTTATGTCCAAACCACTGGGCAGGGTACAAGAAGGGAAATGACTTCTCAATCTGCACAGTTGCCTGTGGGTGTGCTCACACACATGCACATACCATATGCATCACACACACCCCAAACACACAGGCACATACCACATACCATACCCACATACCAATATACACACATATATATGCATATGCATGCATGCACACACACCCATATACCCACACAAATGCATGTACCTTTCCCTCTTCATCTGTGCCAATTCTGTGTGTTGAGGCTTTGGCAACTAAATAATCAATATGGATTTTTTTTTAGCTACACACAAATTACCAAAAGAGTGCTTGAGCAGACCCCCATTAGCCATATAGAGATTTCCAAATTGCCTTTGCCCCCAACCATGTTCTGCAGACTCCAGTTGTTTGCTATGAATACTGATCAGCTTTCATCTCGTAGAGATTTTACCTCAAAAGTTGGGTACCTGGACCCCATCAAAGCACACCACATGGCTCCCCTTTTCTGTGGACATGGCCAAAACTGAGCATCCAGCCTCAGCAGTTGTGGTCAAAGCTCTATATTCAACTCCTTGTCACTTCCAGCCCATGCAAACTATGCTTGAACAACGTTGGGAGTTACAAAGTTCAGGTTCAAAATTCTTTGGCAAACAGATACTGAACTATCAATTAGGCCTGCCTTCATTTCTCCTAGCTGCTCACCCACTTGTCCTCATTTTACTGCAACAGAATTGAGCTGCAAGTACAGTGATAATGAGATCTTCAAAATTATGAATATGAGATATGGCCTTCTTGAATATATTGAATAAATATAGTGATTTTGCAGACAGGACTTGCTTTTATGTGATCTACTTGTAAATGAGAAAATATTTAAAACACACTGAACTATAATGGACATCCATACACTCACAACCCAAACTTCATAAATTTTGTCATACTTGCTACGTATCTTTCACAGTTGATGTTCCATTTGTGCTCAAACTCATCCATTTGCCTCTGTCTCTTTTCTTCTTCCCACAACGTGCCAGAAGGAGGGCCTTGCCCTCTTCTTCTTCCTAGTTGGAACCTCTCATACATGGATCTTTGTGATCTACTCCACCAAATTTATCTCTTGATATAGTCAGTAAATTTTCAAAATCCTTTTTTTCTCAAAAATAGTTAGCTCTGGACCCATTATCTGGATGTGAAGTCAAAATCATCTTCACCACCATTACTATGATAATCACAACCATCATTCCCATCATCATCATCACCACCATCATCCTTGCCATTATTGCCACCATCATCATCACCACCATCATCCTTGCCATTATTGCCACCATCATCATCACCACCATCATCACCTATCATCATAACTATTATCACCATGATCACCAGCATCATCACCATCATTGCCACCACCACCACCACCACCATCATCATCACCATCATCACCACCATCATCACCATCACCATTATCACCATCACCATCACTATCATCACCTACAGTCTCAACTGAGCCATGTCTTAGTCTAGCTCATCACTGCCTGTCTCCAGCACACTGAATCCCATTGTTCTGAAGGGTGGGAAATTTCAGAGCAAAAACTTACACAAGATAAGTCCAAAAATCTTCTCTTAAATATTATCTCTGTTACATGCCCAAGTACTCCAGCCCCCACAACAGTTGACATCCCAAACCACACACACACTCAATTAACTACTGTAAGTCATCCAAAAACATCCTGAAACATCCCAAGTCATCCTGAAACATCTTCTTAAACAAGAAATTCAAGAGAAGACATGCTTTATGCACCCCCATCCCATCTTCAATGATGTACTGGAGCCAGCTCATATGAGTTGGTGAGAGCCAATTTTTAATTTGCCAGGAATTTTAGAAGCTGGTTGACATTGAGTTGCTAGCTTGAAATCAGCTATTGTGAGAATAGTTACACCACAGAAATTGGCAGGTACTGCAAATCAGGGCTCCTCCACCTGCCCTCCCAGGGTTGTTAAACATTGACCAGAAAAACCTTTGTCTTCCTCCAAGAAACAAGGTGTAGGGAGAGAGGAACTGCATTTTAATACTTAAATAAAAGCTTAGAAAATTGATTTTAAAAATCAGCCAGGGTCCTGCAATATTTCCTCTCAGTTTTTTGTTCCCAGGCAAATATGTTCTCTATTTAACCATCATAGCATATCCATAATTTTAATTTTTTCATATCATGTTATAGACATTTTTCCTGTTGTTATACAGCTTTTGTTACTATCATTCTAATGCCAGTTCCTCTACTTGTACATTTTCATTCCCATGAACTTTTTAGAACTTACAGCATTTTTTTTTTTTGAGACAGATTTTCGTTCTTGTTGCCCAGGCTGGAGTGCAGTGGTGCAACCTCAGCTCACTGCAACGTCCGCCTCCCTGGTTCAAGGGATTTTCCTGCCTCAGCCTCCAGAGTAGCTGGGATTAAAGGTGCCCACCACCACGCCCAGCTAATTTTTTGAATTTTTAGTAGAGATGGGATTTCACCATTTTGGTCAGGCTGGTCTCGAACTCCTGACCTCAGCTGATCTTCTTCTTTTTAAATTTTACAAATGATACATTAGCAGATTCTTGTAACATGACTCAAACAATCCAGAAGCCTACAGACTCACAGCTACTCTGTCCTCCACTGCCTACACCACCCCTAGCTGTCTCCACCCTGGTGGTGGCCCTTCCCTCCACACCCTGTACTCCCTTACACACATGCTGACATACCTATATATTTCACCAAAGACATTTTGGGGAAAATTTACATAAATAGAAGAAATACAAAGAATATTGCAAGGCATTTTGCGTAACAATGTGGGAAAAAAAAAAACCTCTGCTTTTTCCTTGTAGTTGAGTTTTTTTTAATACCACTGTATTATATGCCATATAGGAAGGTGTCCAAATCTATTTAAGCTTCTCCTTTACTGGAGACTCTGAAAAGTGGAATTGATGTGTTCAAGGTCAAAACATTTTTTATTTGCAACATACCGCCAAAACAATTCAGAAAAAAAGCTAAGCAGCATATAGATGCCTCTTTCCCCACATAATTTGCAAATGTTTGAATATAATGAAATGTTTCAAAATTTCCCAATCGCATGAGCAAATTACTGAGTATAGTGTGGCTTTAATTTGCATTTTATAATTAGAAATAAAGTAGATCATATTTTCATATTTGTCCTTTATATTATTTTTGTGAATATCTTTGTTTTATTCTTCACCTATTTTTTATTTAATTGTTTTACCTTTTATTATTGGTTTATAGGAGCACTTTTCTTTTACCAATATTTTATCTTTTAAATATGTTGCAGATATTTTCTACCAATCTATTACTTGTCTTTTAACTTTGCTTATCTCCTATTTTGCTATATGTAAGTTCTAACTTTTTTTTCCTTTTTTTTTTTCTTTTTTTTTTCAGACATGGGCTCTCTCTGTGGCCCAGGCTAGAGTGCAGTGAGTGCAGTGGTGTAATCTCCGCTCACTGCAACCTCTGCCTCCCTGGCTCAAGTGATTCTCTTGCCTCAGCCTCCCAAGTAGCTGGGACCACAGGTGTGTGCCACCACGCCTGGCTAATTTCTGTATTTTTGGTTTTTTGTTTTTTGGTTTTTGTTTTTTTTTTTTTTTAGAGATGGGGTTTCACCATGTTGCCCAGGCTGGTCTCAAACTCCTGACCTCAAAAGATCTGCCTGCTTTGGCCTCCCAAAGTGCTGGGATTGCAGGTGTGAGCCACCATGCCTGGCCATCTAAATTTTCATGCGACCAAATCCGACAATCTTTCTTTTTATTATTTCTTAGTTCTAGCTGTGGATTTATTTGTAAACTCCATTGTCAGTGACTTCACACATGCACACACACAATGATGGCTAATTTTGGGTGTCAGTTTGGCTGGATTGAGGAGGGCTTGGACGTCTGGTGAAGCATTGTTCGAGGGTGTTTCCTGGAGAGATTGACATGTCAGTCAGTGGACTTGGAGAGGAAAACCCACACAATGTGGGCGAGCACCATCCAGGACATGGCAGCTGGGAGAAGTGGGTATTCAGCTTGCTTTGCTGTCTGTTTGTCTCTGTCTGTCTGTCTGTCTCTCTCTCTCTCTCTCTCTGTCTCTCCCTCTCTCACCCTTGGGGGCTTTCTGGCTTTCGGCCTCTAACTGATGGCTACAGCACCTGCTTCCCTGGTTCGGAGACTTCCAAGCTGAGCCATGCTACTGTTTTTGCTGCTCCAGTTCTGCAGATTGCAGATGGCCTATTGTGGGACCTCTCCACCTCTGTGATCCTCTGAGCCAATACCCCGAATAATAAATTTCCCCTTGTATCTCCTATTGGTTCTATTTCTCTGGAGAACCCTGATGAATACACACATACACACACACACACACACTTTTTTTTTCATTTTAAGTTCTGGGATACATGTGCAGAACGTGCAGGTTTGTTACATAGGAATACATGTGCCATGGTGGTTTGCTGCACCTATCAACCTGTCATCCAGGTTTTAAGCCCTGCATGCATTAGGTATTTGTCCCAGTGCTCTCCCTCCCCTTGCCCCCCACCTCCTAATAAGCCCTAATGTATGATGTTCCCCTCCCTGTGTCCAGGTGTTCTCATTGTTCAACTCACACTTATGAATTAGAACATGTGGTGTTTGGTTTTCTCTTCCTGTGTTAGTTTGCTGAGGATGATGGCTTCCAGCTTCATCCATGTCCCTGCAAAGGGCATGAACTCATTCTTTTTTATGGCTGCATAGTATTCCATGGTGTATATGTGCCACATTTTCTTTATCCAGTCTATCATTGATGGGCATTTGGGTTGGTTCCAAGTCTTTGCTATTGTAAGTAGATGCACACATTATTTTTATCTCTAATGCAGATGTTTCTGTTCCAGCAGCCATTCTTGGCTGCTCTCCTCTAGGCAGTGACTCGGGGATCTGAGCTCTTTCTCTGCCATCCCAGAGGTGTTCCCCCTGGCCATGGGAGACAGACAGAGCAGGCAACACTACTTAGAAGTCAGTGAGAGCTGTGCCAGGCAGGGTACATATCCCTTTCCCCTACTTTCCACCAGGCAGAACTCACTCACATATTCTCACCCAGACACAGGGAAGGGTAGGAGATGCCGTCTTCCTGTGTGCCTGTAGAAATGGGGCATCATTTGATGAAGATGTAGCAGTCTCTGCCACAGCTTCTGGCTTTGTGTCTTGCTTCAGAAATCCTTCCCCAGCTGCAAAGGGTGAAAATGTTTCTCTCTTCTGTATTCCTCTCTGCTGTTTACAGTTGATGTTCTCTAAATCCACCTGGAATTTATTTTTGAGACTATAGTAAGAGTCTCAATGGATAATTATTTATTCCAAAACCTCTTCTTACTATTTTGATACACCTCGTGATCAAACAAAATTGCATACACACATATATAAATGGTTCTGTTTATGAACTCTTCTCTATTTCATTTATCTATCTATCCTTGCTGAATCAATACCACGCTGTTTTAATGTCTGGCTTTGTAGTATGTGCTCATATAACAAACTCCGTTCCTTTATCTTTCTCAGAATTTTCTTGGCTATTCATATACAGTTGCTTTTCTACATCTGCATTGTTATTTAAATATTCCATTGTATGGATATACAATAATTTATTGACCACTGGAATTTACAACCTTTTTATTGCTATGAACTTCTTTGTATCTAAAACTTTGTTCATATCCATATTTATTTCCCCGGAGTAATTTCTGGAAGTGGAACTGCTGGGTCAAAGAATATAAACATATTTAAGGTTTTGGGTATGGGCTACCAAGTTGTGCTTTAAAATGATTATACCAAACATTTTACCACCAGCAATATAGGATATGGCTCTTTTCTCCACGTGGTTCTCAGTTCCGAGTATTATGATCTTTAAGTAATATTTAATAAGCGAAATATTTTATTTTAATATGAATTTATTTGATTTCAAGTAAGGTTAGCTTTATGTTACTGGATGTTTTTCTTTCTGGCATAAATTGCTTATTTATGTCTTTATTGCAAACGATCATTAATTATAAATAATTTGATGTAAAAAAAAATTGTGGCTTTTGTGACTCATCATCCAAGAGCAACAGCTTTGTCCTATGGTCCTATAATGGAAGGCTGCCCATGTCACTAATATGAAAATTTTTGGAGTATCTCAACCTCCTGGGCCACTCTCTTTTAGATAAATTAATTAGGGGAAGATTCTGCTACACAAAACATTGGGCTGGCGCAGTGCCAACCTTCAGGAGCTTCCCCCAACAGGGACCTTTGATTGTTGGTTGTGAACTGTCCCCGGCCCCACACCAACCCTGCAGTGGCCAGCCCATCCTGCCTCCACAGCGCAGCGAGGTGCCATGCCGGCACCGCACACCCTCTGCAGATGTCCTGTCCCCTGCTAGGCCCTCGCAAGCTGACAGTGTTAACGCAGAGGCCTGCTTAGCGCGGAATGTGGCCACTCCCCGCAGACAGTGGCAGGAGGGCCTTGAGAAGCCTTTTGAAGGCTCTACTCCCTTTGCGTTCCAGCCTCAGGTGAGCGTCCACCACACACAAGGCGGAGGCTCTCCGGACCTCCCCGACAACTGATGCGTTAACTTGGTACTAAATGCCACTGAACTGGAAAGTGTCAGAGGCCATGCAGGGAGCCTCCCACACAGCGCCCCTCAGTGCAGGGACTGGAGCTGCACGCCAACGCAGTGAGGGAGGGACACACCCGGCGCCTTTGTCCCTTTGAGTCGGCCGAGTGGGCAGCGGAGGTGGGCAGAATGGAGGTCATGTGAAGGCTGAGTAAACAGATGTGATTCCTCACCCGGAAAACTCTCCAGGGCAGCCACTGACCCACTTAGGACTGCCCTTTGTCCAGTCGTGGTGCACATTCTGAAAAGGCCTGTTGTCGAATTCTTCTGCTATTTTGCAATGTCAACAGACATGAAGCTCTGAAGTGGCAAATGAGGCACGGCTCTGACAAAGCCTCTCTCATCCCCTGAGAGGCCAAGCGAGTCAGACGCACTTGGGGAGGTGAAGGGCCCCAGAGCGCTGGCGCGACCTGCCTGGTGCCAGGCATGAGATGAGCCGGGAGTCAAATGTTCCCACCTCCCTCGCAAACGGACCAGCCGCACCCCAACGGGGAGGCATCATCGCAGCAAAGGGCTAGTCTTTTTCTGCTAGGAAGAACTTAACAAAACCCAGTGAGGCTAGCACTCTGTCCTGCATCCCGTAAGGCTGCCAGACTTAACAAATAAGTAGACACCACACCCAGTTAAATTGTTAAGTTCAAATTTAAACAACAAATCATTTTTTCAGTGTATATCCCTCCTATGCGTATTTTTTTTAGTATAGTGATTATTTGTGCTAAAAACTCACCAGATTGATTAATATATGTGAAGGGCCTGGCAGAAGGGTTGGTGGAGCAAGATGCTTGATAACTTGTAGTTTCAATGATCAGAGATTACAATTTCCAGGAAAAACTCCCCCTTAGTCAGGAGCAAGTCTCAAAGGTCCTCAAGAGGCCATTTGGGGGCCGGACGCGTTGGCTCACGCCAGTAATCCCAGCACTTTGGGAGGCCAAGGCAGGCAGATCACCTGAGGTTGGGAGTTCGAGACCAGCCTGACCAACATGGAGAAACCCCGTCTTTACCAAAAATACAAAAAACTAGCCAGGTGTGGTGGCGCATGCCTGTAATCTCAGCTACTTGGGAGGCTGAGGTAGGAGCATAGCTTGAACCCGGGAGGCGGAGGTTGCGGTGAGCCAAGATCATGCCATTGCACTCCAGCCTGGGCAACAAGAGTGAAACTCCGTCTCAAAAAAAAAAAAAAAAAGAGAGACCATCTGGGGCCAACTTCACTGGAAGCTCTGATCTTTGATTTAACAGCGCCTGTCTTTGAGGTCAACATTTTGAGATCCCTAATTCAGTAAGCTGTCATATCATTGCACTTATGTGATGCACAGATTAATAAGAGTGGATACATAAATCCCAAGGCCATAGATACCAGTTTAAAAAGAACTTTTTTGAAACCACTGTAAAGGACATGAAAAAATTTCCAAGTGCAGCTATTAATGACAAATGTCAGCGAATACATTTGAAACAATGATTTTTCATTATGTCACACAATATTACACATGCATATTACTTTTGCCACCATACTGACCACTAAAATGGCCAACCCTGTGGATTTTTCTGTTTATCCATTTTGCACAAGGCCTCAAATGGCTACCAGCATCTATGTGAACTCCCAGCTCCAAGACCCACCACCAGACACCCTGTTACAAATCCTAAGAGAAGGGGTTGGAGTGACTTCACTTGTCCTTCTCAGCACTGCCACATGCATCTTGGGCCTCTGACCAGCTCACCCATGGGCCCCCAGCGTGGTCAAATCCACTACCATATCAGGCAGTGAGGAGGGACAGTTGTTCTGAGAAGACACCCCAAAAAAACCTCCTATAGTCCAATCAATCAATTGCAAAATTACAAAATAAAGACACAACAACTGCAGCTTACACTTCAAGTACTGGCCAGGGCGATTTCATCAACAGTAAACTCAGAGGAGCCATCCACGAGCTGGGCTGATAAAGCTGCACGTTGGGATCATGGGAGGTGCCTGCTCCCAAGACCGGTTACCCCAGAAGCCCCAGGTTGGCCCCCAGGGCTGATTCTGATGGCCGCCATATTGCAATCCACTGATCTGGCCACAAGAGGTGAATGTCCCTCTGCGCTTGATGAAGTTCACACCTCTTGTAGTACCTGTTCAGTTCTAGGAACCCAGAGAGGGACAAGGAGGTCTTGAGCACCATGCCACATGGACACATTTGTAGAAACCGGAGATGTTGGCCTCCAGGGAGGGAAAGGGAGATACAGTTGCTGGGTTCAACTATTTAAATGGCTGCCATGCAGAACCATCATTCTGTTTATAGATTTCCAAGCGGCAGAGCCTCTTGTCACCCAAGGGTGACAGCTACAAAAGAAAAGATTGTATTTTAAATTAAGGACTATTTAAAAAGTAGACTGAATAGTCACCAGACAAGGCCCAGAACAAATAACATTTCAGGGCTCCTTCCCAGATATTCTGAGGTTCTGATTTAATTCCCACCTATTCTTTGAATACAATATTTTTTAAAACACCAACCTATTCCCCACCTCTCTAAACTAATACTACACTTAGCATCCCAGTCACTCATTCTGGCATTTTTCACATCCTATCCTGGATGTTTGCTCACTTGCAGCACATCCAGGCTCTGTGATGGGCGCAGGAACACACTGAGATGCTGCCACTGGCCCTGCCTGGTCCCCAGCCAGGTGCAAACCATTTCTTATTCTTCCTTACCTTACAATGCCACTTG
This sequence comes from Homo sapiens, assembly GCF_000001405.40. Lineage (NCBI taxonomy): Eukaryota > Metazoa > Chordata > Mammalia > Primates > Hominidae > Homo > Homo sapiens. The sequence continues at coordinate 190,207 of NW_025791787.1, read as the reverse complement.
CAGTGCTAATCACTGTTTTTTTGTTTGTTTGTTTTTTGTTTTTGAGACAGAATCCTTCTCTGTCACTCAGGCTGGAGTGCGGCAGAGCAATCTCAGCTCACTTCAACTTCCACCTTCCAGATTCAAGCGATTCTTGTGCCTCAGCCTCCCAAGTGGCTGGATTACAGGCATGCACCACCACATCCAGCTAATTTTTTGTATTTTCAGTAGAGGTCAGGTCTTGCTATGTTGGCCAGGGTGGTCTCAGACTCCTGGCCTCAAGTGATCCTCTTGCCTCAGCCTCCTAAAGTGCTGGGATTACAGGTGTGAACCACCATGCCTGGCCTGCTGATCACTCTTTCTATCATCGGTATTCACTTAACCAAATAAAATTTTCTGCAGAATTAATTTTCTCATGTGAATTCAGTGTTTAATAATAATTAAATGGGAAAATGACTGTGTCAAACTCACCTTCCTGCTTTATTATAATATCTATTAATGAATTACAGTGTGTACACCTAGTTCTGAACCATTCTTTTTTCTTGTATCTGAAAAAGTAAATTTCTTTTTTGGCTTGAGTTTTTCAATTCAAAAATCGAAGCTCCAGTTAAGAGAAAATTTCAGCTTCAAACAAAGTGCTGATGTCCTGGGCAGCTGACCTGGGCCTGGGGGCCTCACCTCCCAGTGGTCTAGTGGACTTCAGGTGATGCTAAATTCTGCCAGCTCTGGCTTTTCTATTTCAGCCATCAAGGCTTCAGCCCTTGCTCTTCCTCACTCAGTGGCTGGGCTGTATTTGTGGCTTAATGACCCACTCCGAAGTCCATTTCTGGGTTATGCCTTTTGTCTACATTCTGGCTTCCAGCCTAGAGGTAAATAAACTCTATTACCTACTTCGCAGTCAAAATGAACATTTTCTGTGGGTTCTGCTCCCCTGGGCTGCTCATTCCACTCACCAGAATTGTGACTTCATATGGGTCTTCTTTTTATTAACATCCTGAGCCAACAGACCTAAATAATGTCAGTGATAAAATACTCCCATAAAAATCTTTTGTCCATTTAACATATTTATTATGCAGCCTTTTACAGAAAGTTGACTTATGGAAGCACTAATGAATACAACAAGTCAGGTTTTCTTCATCATGCCCCCCAAACCCCTTCCTCCATGCTCTAGCAGTGGTCAAGGGCCCAGTGTGTGGTGCCCAGGGAGCATATATCCATTAGACGCCTGTGACACCCTCCAGTTCTGCAGCCAACACGAACAGTGTGTGAGATGGAAAGCTCTCCTTCTAAGCACGCATTACCTTCCCCTTTCATCTTTGATCCTAACGTAGCAGCAATTTCTTTCCATTAAGGGGACATTTCTGGTCCCTTCTGGAAACGCATTTCTGTAATGAATATCACTCAGGTGCTAGTTCACTCCACACTAAGGACATTGCTATTCTTCTGCTTCTGGAGAAATCTCATGCTGTTCTGTATATAAAATATCACCTATTCTTCAGATATAGCCCCACAGAGGGAGAAGAAGCAATGACAGTTCAAGCAGAAAGAAGGAAGAAGCTTCTCTCAAGCAGAAAAAAGACTTTTTCTTTTCCTCACTGCATGATCAGAGCAGGCTGTCTGGGCAAGCTGTACCAGGCCACACAGGGACCTAGATAAGAGAACCGCCTATCCCAGCAGCACTAAATCACACAGTTTCTGCTTTGAGTTGGCCTTCATTTTAGACACAACAACTGGATAGCTTTATGGAGATGTCATTGATCAAATCTGAGAAACCCAATACTTATCCAAGTAAGGAGACATGAGAAAAAGTAAGGAGGGCAGAGGAGCCAGCACTTCTCAGCTGAATTGGGAAGGGTTCTTAGAGGCAGACAGATGCTAACTTCAGCAATGTACTGGAAGACTAGTAGGCAACTCATGGAATTGAGGGGAGATCAGGAGAGCCAGGCTCAGAAGCAGAACAGGAGCAGAAAGGGGTGGGTAGCTGAGGGCACAAGCAGTGAGAGGAGTCTCCTGTCTCCAGGAGGAATCACTGCCACCACCACAGTCTCCCCCCATCCCCAGGCCACCCTCCTGCCTCAGCCACCTCCCCCAGGAACGGTCTCTAAGTTACCCAGCATCTTTGCATCATTAATAAAGAACCCCTGGTGGGGGCTTCCAGCTGCCCTGGCCTAGATTTTTAACCCCAAGCCAGCTTTCAGGAGGCAGGTGAGAGAGAATCTGGCTCCCCTTTAGCTTGCAGAGACAGAGAGAGTGAGTGAGAATTGATGCCTTCAGGGAATGGCCAAGCCCCATCCAGTATTTACCAATGCCACCAGGTGACAAGTGCTTGTGCATACTCCCAACTTTAACAAAAAATGAATTAGAGGATGCTGGAATCTCAATCAGCAGCCAAGGCTGTATGGTTAATTAGGATTTGTATTATTTTTATATTACTGCATAACATACTTCTACAAAGTTGGTGGTTTAACACACTCACTTATGGCAAGGCACAGTGGCTCACATCTGTAATCCCAGCACTTTGGGAGGCTGAGGCTGGAAGATAACTTGAGCTCAGGAGTTCAAGATCAGTCTGGTTAACATGGTGAAACCCCATTTCTATTAAAAATACAAAAATTAGCCGGGCATGGTGGCACATGCCTATAGTCCCAGCTACTTAGATGGCTGAGATGGGAAAATCACTTGAACCCAGGAGGTGGAGGTTGCAGCAAGCAGAGATCATGCCACTGCACTCCAACCTGAGCGATAGAGTGAGACCCTGTCTCAAAAAATAAATAAATAAATAAATAAAAAGAAAACACTCATTTACTATGTCACAGTTTCTGTTGGTCAGGGGTCTGGGTAAAGCTTGGCTGGAATCTCTGCATAGGGACTCACAAGATTGCAGTCAAAGGACTAGCCAGGGCTGGGTCCCACACAAGGCTTGGGGTCCTCCTCCAAGCTCTCGTGGTTGTTGGCAGAATTAAGTTCCTTGAAGCAATAGAAACACCTTGAAGCTGCGATGGTTCTGATGTGCTTCAAATGCCATGGGGCTGCCCTGTGATTCCCTATGGGATGGCCAGAGACTCCACACAGGACCCTAAGCCACGTGGACATGCAATGTCTCCAAGGCCCATGGCAGAGCCATGGCTATGCTTCCCTGTCCAGCTGGAGAGCCTGCTGTGTCTCTGAGCTTCACCTACAGCTGCCAGCCTCCTGGTGAACCCACAGACATACCCAAACTTTGTGCCTGTTGCCGCTGCATTTTTAAACATTTTTTTGTAGAGACAAGATCTCACTATGTGCCCAGGCTGATCTTGAACTCCTCCTGGCCTCAAGCCATCCTCCTGCCTCAGCCACCCCAAGCACTGGGATTTCAGGCGTGAGCCATCACACTTGGCCTGCCACTGCATTTTAAAGAAGCCAAACCAGAATCATATTTCCTTCTTAGCAATGGGGGTGCGAGGACAAGTAAAATGTCCTTCCCTTTGGAGAGGATGTGCTGCCATTACCCTCAGCCAAGTTCACACATGTGCCAAGCTTTTTACTGTTTTATCAGTCAAGGTTCTCCAGAGATACAGAACCAATAGGGTATCTAGATCTACATCTGCATTTGTATCTGTATCTGTGTCTAACCTATATCTAATCTATTTCTACATCTATGTCTGTATCTGTATCTACATCTGTATTTCTAATCTATTTCTATATCTTCGTCTGTATCTGTATCTACATCTGTATATCTATTTCTATATCTGTGTCTGTATCTGTATCTACATCTGTATATCTAATCTATTTCTATATCTATGTCTGTATCTATATCTACATCTGATATCTAATTTATTTCTATATCTCTATCTGTATCTAGAGAGGTTTTAAGGAAATGGCTCACATGATTGTGGAGGCTGGCAAGCCTGGCAACTCTAAGACAGAGCTGGACACTCAGCTAAGAGTTGATGTTGCAGTCCTGAGTTTGATCAAGGCTGGAAAGTCAGGCAAGATTTCTGTGTTGCAGTCAGCTTCCCACTGATTGGATGAGGCCCACCCACACTATGGGGAGGGTACCCTATTTTAATTAACATCAACTGATTGTAAACATTAATGCCATCCACAAAGTACCCTCACAACAACATCTAGACTGGTGTTTGACCAAACAACTGGGTACCATAGCCTAGCCAGGTCGACACATAAAATCAGCCATCTCACTGTCTTGTGATATTTCTCCTCCCTCTTCCTTAAGACACTTGCTGCTTTCTGAACCCTTAGCACAGGTTTATACACCTATTACCAAGATATCCCCTGTGTAAACCAGCATTGTCACACAGTATATTTGGTAAATGAGTGTTCCAGCTTTCTGAGCCCCAAAGAGTGGCTCAGAACAATACAATCACACACTATTATTACCTCTCCTCATTCTGTGGCTTGACTGAGCTTAGCCGGACAGTTCTCACCAAGGTCTCTCGTGTGGTTACAGTCAGACGGTAGCAACGGAGGGACATCTTCAAGAAGCCTTTGAGGTTTCCTCATTCATATGTCGGGCTCCTGGGCTTGAAAGACTCAAACTTCTGGAAGCTGCCACTGGTGAGGCCTCTCACCCATTCATCTATGTATTCCTGTCACCCAGCAGCCCCAGCATAGCTGGACTTCTTACAGGACAGCTGGAGGTCCCTAGAGCAAATGTCCCAAGAGAAACAGGCACAGCTGTGTGGGCTCAGCTCGCCAAGCCTCAGAAGTCACAGAGCATCACGAAGGCCCACCCAGGTTCAAGGCGAGACCACATGGAAATGCAGACGTGTTAAAACTACCACAGAACGTTTTCTCCCGTGTGATTTGACTCTGAAATTCACCCACCCAAGGATTGAGCATAATTGTAGATCTGTCCTCTTTCAGGGTAATTCTCTCCGGCCAGGACATGACAGCATCTTCAAAAAGAAACATAGGGAGTGTATGCGTGCAAGTGGCTGGGTTCAGGTGCTCTGAGGCTTCCCATCCCCCTCATATCTCCCTACTCCAGCATTCAATGCCTCTATCCCCCAGCTTGGCAAGCCACTGGATCCAACTCTACTTCTGATTCTTGGCCACTATCACCCTGTGGGAAGAAGAAGAGATTCTATTAACACACACCTTCGGAAGACCTTGGTTTGGGGACATATGTTGGGATTTGAACTTCTTTTTCTTCCATTTATCCAAGTGCCTGTAAAAGTAATCATTCTACCCTTAAAGACCTAGAGGGCTTCAATGGCTAATATGCTATATTCTGTCTTATAATGGCAGCAAATGAGCTGCAAAAACATTGACTTTACTGAGCACTTCAGTCCAAGTGACCACAAGCAAAAATGTAAGATGTAATTTTCTGTTTAGCCATTGAATTCTATTTTCGTTTTCTATCACTGTGTATAAAACCACCCCAAAACTTAGTGGCTTAAAAACAATCGTGTGTGTTTCTTATAGTGGTTTGACCTCTGTTGGTTTTGCTCAGGGTCACTCATGTGGCTAAATTGAGCTGAGGATGGGCTGGGCTGAAAGGTCTTGGGGCTGGGGGCTGGGGACTGGGGTGGCTGGGGCACCTCAGCTCCCCTTTACAGGACTCTCTCTCCAAACCTTCCTTGAATCCCTAGAATGGTTCCCAAGCCCTGTTTTATGTTTTAATGGCTCTCTGTATTTCTTCTTTGTTGTACTTATTACAGTTGTGATTTAAAGCTTAGAGTTATTTGTCTAACGGCAGTCCTCCCTACTGAAGTGTAAACTCTGCAAGGACAGGAAGTATGTCTTGTTCAGAATTGCATTCTCAGCACTTGGCACAGTGCATCTCACACTCCCACATAGCAGGGCTGCACATGGTATAGACACAGAATGAATGAAGTCATAAATGCAAGGGAGACATTAGACTCAAATCCTGGTTCACGCATTTAGTAGCTGTGCAGCTTAAAAATCAGTTTACATCTGCAAAACAGGAAATATAGAAACTCTGTCTCTGGGTTGCAGTGATGATGGAAGCAGAAAACACACACAAGTATGGAGCACGTGCCGTTCGTGAGAAGCACATGGGCAGCCAGTCAGCCTGGGTGTAACCATGTGGTGTGGTGTTTAATTCAGGGCCACCGGGCACATCATGGCACCTTAAAGGCAACCGAATCCTTCTGAGAAATTTCATCTCTTTCAGGGAAACTCAGAGGAAAGGGGAAGGAAGACGGGGTGACTTTGAAAAGCAGTGGTTGGGAATAAGTGGATTCATCACAGAGTTGATGTTTGATGCAGGGGTAACCAAGAACCCACACAGACAGTGAACATCAACCTATGGCTGTCGCAAGAGGCTGCTCACAGGAACCAGGTCCAAGATCCCCACAGGCCTCGCAAGGGGTGGAGAAAATGGACACGCTCCCGAGCATGCTGGTGGACGTGGAAATTGGTGCAGACTCTTTGGAGGACAACTTAACACTGCCGCTCAGAAACTGTCACATCCCCAACCCGCAGGTGACCTCGAGGAGCTCTCTCCTCACCTCGCCGACGAAGCACCGACTTGACAAGTTCTGATATCATGACGCTGACCCTCTCAGTGGGAAAGGGCAGTGAACAAGTAACTAAAAACGATAACTGCAGATGGTGGTAAGACTGTTCTGAGAGTAAAGCAGGTGTAACGTAGAGAAAGGAGTGGAGGGTACGGGGCCAGCTCTCCACAGCTCTAACGATTGAAGGGACGGGATGTCTCCCACATGGGGACGGCACAGACAATGAGGGGCACAGAGGTAAAGGGCAGTGAGAACAACATTCGAAAGAAGGAGGGCACGTCCACCAGGCCAGAGGATTTGGATTTCATACTAAGTGCATGGAGGGGCTTCAGTAGAAAAATGGTCCCTTTTAAACGATGCCCCGCCACTGGGCGGGAGGCAGCCACGGGGCTTTGAAGTAGAAGCAAGGAGACGATGGTGACCTGAGTGGGCCAGGATAGGTATAGCCCATTTTTTTTCCTGGTTCTATTCTTACAATTTTTTCACCATGAACACATATTCATTCTGTAACGAGAAAAAAATAAATGTTATAAAATAACATCACAGCCCTAGGGTTGCCCCCTCTTCCCTGCGGGCCAAGGACCCATGCTGCTCATTTATTGCCCCTCAGAGCCAGAGTTAAGGCAGGCGGAGTCTGTGACCAGCAGGTGGGGGATGCCCAGGGGTGAGGCTGACAGGCAGCAAAGAGGGAACCCAGCAGCCATGACAGCTTGGTCACCCAACAGGCCCCTCTCGCTCCCATCTCCTGAAGTTTGCGATGTGGGCACTGCCGACACCGTGAGGGGAGCCTGGGAAATGCCAAAGAGGCGTGAACCTTGAAACCCTCCCGTGTTTCTGAATGTCCTGTGCAGGCGGACTCCCTTAGCCTCTGCTCTGAGTTGCAGACATGGCCAGGTGGAAAGTGCCAGGTAAACTCTGGTGCTGATCACTGGGGAAGCAGCGTCCTGAGTGGTTTGGTTGGTGGGAAGCACTGCACACCCACATAGCTCTACCCAGCTCCATTCTTAAATTTGGAAGGAGGTTTGATGGGATTCGCCTTCCAGAAGTACCTGCATATCTTGGTTGACAAGTGTGTCCGAGGGAAGCACTAATTCAATATGTTTTAGAGTCTCTTAGAAGCCTACTTGTTCTCCTCCTATTTTTTTCCCCATGAAGACCCTCAAAACTATCCGAAAGAAACCCCAGGTTTGTTCTTGCTGCTTTGTAAGGGTGGTAATGCGTTTGCATCTGGAGGAAGCTGTGTGGGCTTCAAGGCCCACACACACAGGGGTCCATGACTGGACCACCAGCCCAGCTACAGAGAAGGCCATGCCAAAGTGAGACATGCTCAGTCTGGAAGATGACGCCCAGGGACTGAGGCCATCAGTCCAGGGTTCTCCAATTGGCTTTAAGAATAGTTCTGCTCCATAGCCTGCAAAGTAAGCTCCAGGAAACTAAACCCTATTTCTGCATTGATTTCTATGATAAAATCAGACATTTTTTTCCCATGGAAAACAGCTTTAGCTACAAGTTATAATTAAAAATTAGACTTCAAGTGTTGCTATTTTAGAAGAAAAATGATAATTTTCCCAAGAAACTAACCAAAACTAAATCACAAAGCGCACACTCTGCATTAAAAGTTTAGGAACCCTGTCAGAAGTTACATCCCCTTGGGTAAAACTTGTAGGAGGGTAGATATTCTCCATTTCAATACCCTAAACGTCTAGCTATTTCTTTGGAAAGAGTTCATCTTTTAAGTATGAATCTTTTCATTGCTTCACAAAAATATTTTATGGCTTTTGTTTGCTATCCTCAAAGTTTTGTCATGCCAGTGGTCTCTCTTTTTCTATTAAAATAATTATTTCAATGGTTTATTTTTTGTAAGTGTAGGTATTTGCACAAAATCAAGTTTTTAAATCCAGGTTAGAAGAAATGTTAAGGTAATTTAGTTTTATCTTCTACCATTGGAAGGAAGTCCCTTAGCAAAGACCCTGGCGGACAGTGACCAGCCTCCACCTGGACGTGTTCTCAGAAAGGCATGCAAGGGGGTCCTGACCGGCCCCACGTTGTCATGGGGCTGTCCCTCGAGAGAGCTTTTCTCACCTGGACTGGACGATGCCTGCCTCCCAGACAGGAGCCTGCCCACCTGCCATGATGCAGGACAAGAGCAACCTGTGCCTATGACATCTCTCACTCTGCAGAGGCCCTTGAAAGTCTGCACGGCGTGGGTGAGTGAGCCCTTAAGAGCAAAAGGAAGGACAGGCCTGAAATGAGAGCTCTCCTCTCTACAGGACACATCCCCAGCTCCTCCATTAGATCCTCATGACTTCCCAAGCCCTTCCCTCTTCTCATTCAGTATTCTGGATCCATGGGGCTCTATGGTGCCCAGAGCAACCACGATCCTCCAAGGAAGATGGAGCAGGGCAGAGTTCAGGGGGATGTTGCACATTCTACTGGGGACAGAAAAGGCTGATGTTGGTAAAAATCAAGTGGAGGGAAAGGCAAGCAGAGATGCTGCCTGGACGAACCCGTACAGGTTCCCAGGTTCTGGGCAAGTTCCAGGAAGCCTGCGACACGTCTGCTTCCTCACTACACTGTCTTCGTTGGCTGGGAAATGGATGCTGCAGATATTCAAATCAAGGGGAATATTTAGAATACTCTGTCAAGGACAGACAGATGGTACAGAGAAGCCTTCACTCCTGAATAATGACAATTTCCCCTGCTCCGTGCGGGACGTGGTCTGCGCTCTAAAGCCCCTACCGCAGAGTCTGCTGCTTCCTGAAACCAGCTGGGAGAAGCGGCTGTGCTTTGCTATTTCTGGTCACTTCTCATCCCATGGTTATTACTCATCCCCAGGGAATAGGCTGAATCTTCCTGTTACCACTGCTTGCCATGGACAGTGCGAACTTCTCTTGATTTCACTTGTTTTTTTTTTTTGGTGGGGGGGTGTTTGTTTTTGGTTTTGTTTCCCAGCCTTATTGAGGTATAATTGCCAGATAAAAATTGTATATATTTAAGGCATACAATGTGATGATTTGATATACACATACATTGTGAAATGATCATAATACAATTAATGAACACATCTATCACCTCACACAATTATCATGGTGTGTGCGCACAGGGGGCAGTGAGGACACTTAAGATCTAATCTCTTAGCAAATTTCAAATATACAATATAGTATTGCTAACTATATTACCATGCTGTACATTAGATCCTCAGAACTTATTCATCTTACAACTACAAGTTTGTACAATTTGACCAACATCGCCCCATTTCCCCCAGCCCCCAGCCTCTAGCAACCACCATTCTTCTCTCTGCTTCTATAAATTTAACTTTTTAAGATTTTCCTTGTAAGTGAGATCATATGGTATTTGTCTTTCTGTGTCTGGCTTATTTTACTTAGCATAATGTCCTCCATGTTCATCTGTGTTGTTACAAATTTCAGGATCTCCTTCTATTTTTATGGCTTAAAAATATTTCATTGTACATATATGACACATTTTCTTTATCCATTCATCTGTTGACAGATACTTAGGTTGGTTCCATATCTTGGCTATTGTGAATAATTCTGCAATAAAAGAAAAACAATCCTAACATTCAAATGGAAGCACAAAAGACCCCAAATAGCCAAAGCAATCTTAAGAAAAAAGAACAAAACTAAAGTCATCACCTATCTGATTTCAAACTATATTACAAAGCTATAGTAATCAAATCAGCAAGGTACTGTTAAAACAGACACATAGACCAATGGAACAATAAAAACAGACATATAGACCAATGGAACCAAACTGAATGCCCAGAAACAAACCCACCCATATAAGGTCAACTACTCTTGGACAAAGATGCCAGGAATACAATCGAGAAAAGATAGTCTCTTCAATAAATAGTGCTGGGAAAACTGTTTATTCACATAAAAAAAGAATAAAATTGTACCTTTACCTTACATCATATACAAAAATTAACTCAAAATGGATTATTTAAATGTAAAACCTGAAACTGTAAAACTCCTAGAAGAAAACAAGGAAAAAGCTCCTTTAGATTGGTCTTGGTAATGATTTTTTGGACATACAACAAAAGCATCAGCAATATAAGCAAAAATAGCTTTTGTTAATTGACGACAAGTTTTCTCTCTAGAAGCAGACTTCTTAACTAGCTTTTGGTCTGTTTTACTAGTCTTCACAGCTGAATTCTCCTCTTTGCAAACCTTTAAGTTTTTTTAAAAAACTATATTTCTGGTTGGCTTGAGTTGGGTACGGAGGGGCTCTGCTGGGAGGCAGCAGGGAGAACTGTTTCCCCTGAGCCACCCACCAGCTGATGTCAGGAGTTTGGACACTCACACAGGGAAAGGATGTATGTTCTGTCCAGCAGAGTCACCATGCCCTGCACAGCCACACACCAGACCAGCAACACGGCATCATCCAGGAACTTGTTACACATGCAGATGATCCAGCCCAGCCTACACCTGCTGTGGCAGAGCCCCTGGCTGTAGCCAAGCAGGGGGGTTCTCCTGTCTCAGGTTTGAGAACCACAGCCCCAGGCAAGTGCTTTCTGGCTGCATAGTTTCACCACCTTTGCTTGAATGAACATGCTTTCAGAGGCCAAATCAGGGTGACAGTCTCAGTTATTTCTGGCAGGCAATCCCCGGCTCTGATATAAAGCAGTCTAGAATTTCTCCTTTTCCTCAGGGGTACTGCTAACCTCACTGCACCTGCCACCCTTCCTGGGTATGTGAGCAGAAGAAATGGGGCTTCGATGGAGAGGGCAGCATTTTCCCCTCCTCTCTGGTCAATATACTCAGAGCCCTCCATGTTTGTTCATGTAGTTTCACTTCTGAACTTTAGGAAATCTTGCTTCCAATCTTTAGATACATCATAACTGACGAGTTGGCCAAATGTTAGTGAAAAACAACAACAACAAAAACATATGAAGTGATTATTTGAAAGGAAGGCTGATCTATAAACCTAATAAAAAATGAAGGCCTCTCAAAAAAGAAATAAAACATTGTCTTCTTTTGCTGTTTTTTTCCTCATGCAAAGCAGCAACAAAATGTTTCTATCACTTGTATTCTTCCTTACTCTAAAAATAAGTGAAGAGGCTTGAGGAAATATATTCATCATAATGGGAGAGACCCAAAGATAGAGAAATCAGGAAGACAGGAAAATGAAAGTCCAAGGCAAGGAGGCAGCAGGGAAGGTGAAGTTCTGAGTGGCCTGGTGGGTGGGTGACCTGGGTGGCCTGCCTTTGGTCACCAAGTAGACACACATGGATTCTGAACTGACTACTGGCCAAGGAAAACCAACTAATTACAAGCATTATAGAGTCCACAAGGCAAACCAACCTGATCTTTAAAAGAAGAGCAACTTTGCCAAAGATGAGAATCAATTACCCCCAGTTGAAGTCAGAACCCCAAGTTCAGGGGCTGCCACCCCAACATTACCTGTGATGGACACTCACATCTGTTCAGCCTGTGCACACTTACTCTCCTATCTCCCACCCCAGTGGTGCTTCCCAACACAACACAGCTGCTCAGCTATGACTCAGAACGTAAGACTGCTTTATGGATGATGACTTATTTTTTGCTATAATGACTTTTTTCACCTTAAAACATATTAAATTAATACATGAAAGGTTTTGACTTCACAGTTTCCAGCAAAGACACAACACATGCACCAATTTTTGCTGACATTAGTGTCCAATCAGAAAATATCACGTGAAACCAGTTTGGGTGGTGGGGCCTTGATGGTTGAACCCAAACATTTTGCTTTGCATGTGAGCACCAGGGGCCAGGGCCAAGGGGCGGAGTTCCCATGACCCCTTCATTTGTTGGGTGCTCCATGCTATCTCCACCTGTTTTTAAGCACTCTGGGTGCACGCTTTATTTTGCCTTGTTTTTCTGTGCTACCATCTTGCTATTTTTTTTTTAAGTAAAAGCAAGTTTATTAAGAAAGTAAAGGAATAAAACAGTGGCTACTCACTCCATAGACGGAGAAGCCCTGAGGTTGCTCATTTTCATGGTTATTTCTTGATTATATGCTAAAAAATAGGTGGGGGGTGGATTATTCATGTCTCCCCTTTTTAGACCACATAGGGTAACTTCCTGATGTGGCCATGGCATTTGTAAACTGTCGTGGTGTTGTTGGGAGCGTAGCAGTGAGGACAACCAGAGGTCACTCTCGTCACCATTTTGATTTTAGTGGACTTTAGCCAGCTTCTTGACTGCAATCTGTTATATCAGCAAGGTCTTTATATCTTTTATCTTGTGCTGACCTAGCTCATCCTGTGATGGAATGCCTAACCATCTGGGAATGTAGCCCAGTAGGCCTTAGCCTTATTTTACCCAGCCCCTATTCAAGATGGAATTGCTCTGGTTCAAACGCCTCTGACATTTCCCCCGTCCCTTTTAAAGGGACAGGGGAACCCTTTATCCTAAAGGTTACAGAGTGATGACAATCCATCTTCTGTAACTTCTTCATGCTGAATAGGGACGATGATACTCCTGCCTAACTAGTAGAGTCTCTTGTATTCCAGGTAGAGAGGAGCTCAGTCAGAAAGTGTTGGTATGCTGAGGGTCATTCGTGACTCTTGAGTTCTGACAAAAGGTGATATCTGGAAGATTAATAAGTGTTCAATTTAAGAAAATGTTGAGTAAGCTTATTCTGCATTCCTACACAAAGAGTATAACAGCAATATATTCCACAACAAAGAAAAATAAAGTAAAATTATTCCAAGTAAACTAAATTAGAAGGCTTTCCATGAACTGAACAATTGTTGGAACAAAGCAGATACAGGGTTGCTAGCTGATTACGATATGCCCAGAATTAGAATATTGATCCAGATTTTTACATTACCCAATCCTCTTGTTTCTTCTGAGCTGGAGTTATAGATCACTGGTTGGTTCACAAGAACAAACAGGGTTAGTCTAAATTGCAGGGAAAAAAAAACTTAAAAATAACTGATGAGGGCCAGGCACAGTTGCTCATGCCTATAATCCCAGCAGTTTGGGAGGCCGAGGCAGGTGGATCATCTGAGGTCAGGTGTTCGAGACTAGCCTGGCCAACATGGTGAAACCCTGTCTCTACTAAAAATACAAAAAAAGTTAGCCAGGCATAGTGGCACACACCTGTAGTCTCAGCTACTCAGGAGTTGCTGAGGTAGGAGAATTGCTTGAACCTGGGAGGTGGAGCTCGCAATGAGCTGAGATTGTGCCACTGCACTCCAGCCTGGGAGACAGAGGGAGACTCTGTCTCGAAAAAACAAAAACAGAAAAACAAAAACAAAAATAAAATCTGATGAGACTAGAATCTAATAAGAGGTGTACACAGTTTTTGAAACACAATATTTCTCTCTCCATTTTCTCATTTTTACTAAAGACAAATTATGATATGACCGATTTGCTTTATTATACTTGGCCTGATTATTTGCATAAAATACAGCAAGAATAATTTTTCACATAAGCTCTTTCTAAATTGGCTTTGATGGAACTCTGTTCCATAGAAGGAATCTTAGATAAAACTTTTTTTTAAGCTGAGCCCAGCCCTGTTTATACCCTCAAATACCTATAAGTTGGGTAAATTCCTCTCCTCTTGAGGTCCCAAGATAACGTGGAGCTCTTGGACCTGTCAAAAAAATGGCATTCTTTACTTACTACAAGTCAGAAACCCTGTATAGGGACTGTTGTAGACAAAATATGAGGCCAGTTTTCCCAAGGGACTTTTATTGGCTTTACAAGTTAAGTCTGATTCCTTAAAGGAAAGTATACCATTCCAGTAAAAGCCTTGGTAAAATAACGAGTTTCTTCAATTGTGTCCTGTTAGAAAAGAAAGCAGATTCTTACTGCACTTATGCAAATAACTATATCGCCATAAGTTAAGAATATTCACAGTTTCCAAATTCCAGAGAAATCAAGTAGAGAAAAACAAATATTGTCCAGATTTTGTTCACAGAAGTACACTTTACTCAATTGTTCAGCTACAAATAGCTTGAAAGAAAAGTTTCCTTCCTTATCTCTGAAAAACAAAATAGGATCAGAAATGTTTTAGGCAAAAGGTTAACAAAGATTACGTCAGGCTTTTATTAGTTTAGTCCATGCAGTTAACTCCTGTTCTACTTGACATTCGTGAACATTGCAGCACTCCATGAAAGTTCGGAAAGTGTTTTTCCTCTATTCCAATGTCACAATCTCCAAAGTTATCAGAAACCTGCATTTAAGAACACCTGTTAGAGTTTTAGAGTTGATTATAAAACCACCTTTTGAAGAGGACCAAAACAGACAACAAATGCCTGTGAATGACAAAATGTTTTAGGGCAGTCATAATGGAAAACACGATTGACAAAGAAATTTTGTTACCTCTGTGGTATACAATAATTTTATGTAACATTTATAATTATTAATAACATACACTTAATTATATCAGAATTATAGGAGTTTACTATAATTTTGAAACACATACCAATAACAGAGTTATACAAATACAGCCCAAAGAAAGCCAAATACCATTTCATATTTGACAGCGCTTCCTGTATGATTTTTACACCAAGTAAGCCAAATGTCACCTTTACATTAGTATACTATTAATGTTAAATCCAATTTTTAATAAAACCTTACAGACAAATCTATCCAACATTAATGCCTGCTCATAAACCTTCTATAACCCTTGAAAATTTCTTCATTAAAGAGAAGATCAGTTCTTTAAGAAAAACCTGTTGTACTTTCATTCCAATATTCAATTTATGGAAAAACTGAATACCCCTTTAACTTTAGCCAACACATTCACACATAGAATTTCTTTTCACAAGTTTAATTTTTCCTAACTTTCCTACGAATGTTTCATAACTTGCTCAAACTTTCAGCTTTACCCTATTTGACTTAAAACAATCCTTTAACCTTTTACTCTAGGCCAAAATATATTCTACTTTCCTTACATGTCTTACATGTAAAACTGTTTCTTCAGTAGTCTCAACTACATGTTACAATGTTAACTCTTAGCAACTTTTACTTTTGGTGAAAATTTGGTTAGTAAGTGATGGTAATTATGTCCCAGGTGTGAAGCCTAGGACATCAGACAGAAGTACAGATAAGGGCTGACTCTTTCCAGCATAGCTAAGGGGCAAGGCTCTCCACATGTCCCTAGGCCTTATCTAGAATCTAATGCTCCAAAGTCAGCCAATTGAATAATTTTCAAAAGTCAAAGAAGCAGTTTGTGACCTTAAAGTGTTTAGTAAACTTAATATCTGATCTGTCTCATTTCAACCAAATGTTTATATTTTTTAAGATAGCTTTATTTAACCGATAATCTTTAAAACTGCCTTTATTTCCTCAAGATTACTAAAGTCTCATGAACTGAAAGGCATTACACTTTTTACTTTTCTCACAAAAATATTTGATTTTAGCTCTTATTGTTTTTAAACCAATTAATCAAAGCTCTTTCATTTCACACACACAACACATGTAAATACACAGACAGACAGAAAATGAGGGACTCATTCCCTAAGCCAGGAATGGAATCCTGAACCTAGACTGCCATTGTTATGGTGGAGACCAATAGAAAATACTGCCACATGGTTACAAGGTCAAGCTCCCAAGGACATAGAACAAGACAGCAGGAGAAGCTCATCCAGTTTGTTTTCAGGAACCTGCAGCAAAGTTTATAACTGACCAGTTTACTAGACCACCTTTAACACTGGGCTTATAGGTTCCTAGGCCCATGTTCTATCCTCTTTATGACACAACAATACAGAAAGACACACAGAGCACATCAGATTCACTATATGTTAAGACTAGCCTCACAAATCCTTTTTTTTTCATTAATCAAAACTTACAGAGGGGATAAACAGTAATTTTTATCATTAATTCAACCAGTTTGCACAGAAAGAGAGAGGGAGAGGCCAGAAGTCTGGCTGGTAAGAAATTCTTACCCTTTGGCCACCGTGCCAGGCTTCTGGGATCCCTTTCCCTGAGCAGCCCTGGTGACCCAGCTAGCTGCACCACAGCCCTGGGGCCCAAGCCACAACACAAAGAAAAATGATCGTTTTCCATTCTGGTGAGAACAAAATACATGCAACAAAACAGACACTAGCTGCCCTGCTTAGCACCCAATATCAAACTGCTACTGCTCAAACTTGTACTCCACTGGGCCCCGTCGTCGTTAATCCAAACTCCGACCAGAAATTTCAACATGTGGTCTCTGGGCAAGATGGTCCCCCTGAGTAATAGAAAAGATAAGAAAGGGAATGGAGAGAGAGAAAAGCATTGCCTGTGGCAGAGTGGGAAGGCAAAGCGTTCAGGGAGGCCAGGGAAAAACCCATCCATTGCAGCAACACAGAATCGAAAGTTCAGGTGGCCATTTGTCAGCCTTGAGGGGATCTTTTCTAGTAGTTCCATCAGCTCTCAAGTTTCCCCTTTTGGGGAGAAAAAAGCTCCCCATGTCCCATGATCCTGTAAATGCCTAGTCCCATCACCTACAGCCATCAGCAAAGAGTCTAAGGTAGATTATTCCAAAGAGAATATGTGTTAACATCCCATAGGGCCAAACTCATTCTTAGCTGAGAGGGACTTTACTGAGAGGGACCTCTAACCCCCTAAATCTTAGGAATCATTCTAACCTTCCTAAGGTGGGCCTCAAACCCAAATTCAGTCAAGCATCCTTGCCTTTTATTAAGAGGGGCCTTTCACCCACTCTGTCTTAGGAGAGGTTGTGACTACCCTAAGTTGGGCCTCTAACCCAATCTCATCCTTTACCAGGATAAGTGCACCCCACTTACCCGAAGTTGGCCAATTGAACCCACAAGCCCACACAAACCCACAAGACTGGAGAGAACCGCAGGGCAAATTAAAATTTTAAAAATCTTCTGTTACATCCGTTTACATTCAAAACCTTTTAGAAGGAAGTTAGCTCTTTGAAAATAAAAATTAAAAAACTTAGTCAATAAAGAAACAAACTGGCTGGGTGAGGTGGCTCACGCCTGTAACCCCAGCACCTTGGGAGGCCGAGGCAGGCAGATCACGAGATCAGGAGTTTGAGACCAGCCTGACCAACATGGTGAAACCCCGTCCGTACTAAAAATACAAAAATTAGCCTGGGGTGGTGGCACGCACCTGTAATCCCAGCTACTCAGGAGGCTGAAGCAGGAGAATCACTTGAACCCAGGAGGTAGAGGTTGCAGTGAGCTGAGATCGCGCCACTGCACTCCAGCCTGGGTGACAGAGTGACACTCCATCTCCAAAAAAAAAAAAAAACAAAACAAAACCAAAAAAAAAGAAACAAGCTAAAGATGCAGATGATTTTCCTTTGGGTAAGGGACCTCTTCAGTATTGTCCCTTTGGTGGTGTGCCAAGAAGATGTTACCAGACCCCACCACTTACCCAAAGTTAGCCTTTGGGTGATGGGGGACAGGGGTGTTCCCCAGTATTGTCCCTTCCATGGTCACCAGGAAGATGTTACTGGAAAGGGATCTCAATCCAAACCCCAAGAGAGGATTCTTGGATCTCTTGCAAGACAGAATTCAGGGCAAGTCCATACAGCAAAGTGAAAGCAAGTTTATTAAGAAAGTAAAGGAATAAAAGAATGAAAGAATGGATAAGGAAGTGAGAGGTGACAGCATGCTGGCAGCCCTCGCTGGCTCTTGGTGCCTCCTCGGCCTCAGTGCTCTAGGTGCGCTTGAGGAGCCCTTCAGCCCACGGCTGCACTGTAGGAGCCCTTCTCCGGGCTGGCTGAGGCTGGTGCTGGCTCCCTCTGCTTGCGGGTAGGTGTGGAGGGAGAGGGGTGGGTGGGAACCTGGGCTGCGAAGTGCGGCCCTCACAGGCCAGCGCGAGTTCCAGGTAGGCGTGGGCTGGGTCACCCTGCACTCAGAGCAGCCCGCCGGCGCCACTAGCCCCGGGCAGTGAAGGGCTTAGCACCCGAGCCAGCAGCTCCAGAGGGTGCACTGGGTGCCCTAGCAGTGCTGGCCTGCCAGCGCTGCGCTCAAATTCTCACTGGGCCGCAGCTGCCTCCCCGCGGGGCAGGGCTCCGGACCTGCAGCCTGCCATGCCCGAGCCTCCCCGCTGCTGTGGGCTCACCAGAGCCTCCCCGACAAGTGCTACCCCCTGTTCCGTGGTGTCATGTCCCATCGACTGCCCAAGGGCTGAGGAGTGCAGGCACACTGCACAGGACTGGCAGGCAGCTCCACCTGCGGCCTGGTGAGGGATCCACTAGGTGAAACCAGCTGGGCTCCTGAGTCTGGTGGGGACTTGGAGAACCTTTACGTCTAGCTAAGGGATTGTAAATACACCAATTGGCACTCTGTGTCTACCTCAAGGTTTGTAAACACACCAATCAGCACCGTGTATCTAGCTCAAGGTTTGTAAATGCACCAATCGGTGCTCTGTGTCTAGCTTATCTAGTGGGGACTTGGAGAACTTTTGGGTCTAGCTCAGGGATTGTAAACGCACTAATCAGCACCCTGTCAAAACGGACCAATCAGCTCTCTGTAAAACAGACCAATCATCTCTCTATAAAATGGACCAATCAGCAGGATGTGGGTGGGGCCATATAAGGGAATAAAAGCACGCTGCCCTAAGCCGGCAGTGGCAACGCACTTGGCTCTTTTCCAGACTGTGGAAGTGTTGTTTTTTTGCTGTTTGCAATACATATTGCTGCTGCTCACTTTTTGGGTCCGCACTGCCTTTATGAGCTGTAACATTCACTGCAAAGGTCTGCAGCTTCACTCCTGAGGCCAGCGAGACCACGAACCCACCGGGACGAATGAACAACTCCAGACCCACCACCTTAAGAGCTGTAACACTCACTGCGAAGGTCTGCAGCTTCACTGCTGAAGCCAGCGAGACCACAAACCCACCAGAAGGAAGAAACTCCAAACATGTCCGAACATCAGAAGGAACAAACTCCAGACACACCATCTTTAAGAACTGTAACACTCATCGCGAGGGTCCGCAGCTTCATTCTTGAAGTCAGTGAGACGAAGAACTCACCAATTCCGGACGCAGAAGGACACACATACCAGGAGATCCTCCCACATCCTCCAGCTCCACCCCCACCCCTGCGGGTCTTAGCTTTCTCCTTCATCCAGAACCATGAAGCTTCATTAAGCTGTATATTTTGTACAGACTCTATTATTTGTTTTCAAAGGATTGCCTATTGCTTTTATAAACTTGTTTTCATTGTTCAATTGACCTATTTTTCTATCTGAAAATTGTTCAATCACTTGGGTGGGATGGAACGCTTCAAAAGTCTCCCCATTAACATTCATGGAAATATTTTTCATTGAACAACTTTCCTTTAGTGTTAGCATTTTCAGCAGTGACTTTACGTGGTTCAGCAAGAGCTAGGTGTGCCTGTCTGCCCTGGATTTTTCTCTGGTTTTCCTTTTCCTGGCATAAATTTGCCAAATGTCTGGTCTAGGGGACAAA